>NC_000005.10:178619791-178770237 GCF_000001405.40 Homo sapiens
AAAGGACATAGATTCAATTGGCCCAGTTTCCCGTCCCCCTCTCTACCTGGGATGAGTGTCCTCTTCAACAGAGTGCGAAGCTTCAAGAGGGATGCACATGGAGCACTGAGGGAGAGAGGGGACACCTGCCCAGTCAGACACATCGGCTAAAATAAGCCTAACAAGCAATGGAGTGACGGATGTTGACTAGATTGCCCTCACCAACCCCTTTCCTTTCCCCAGAATATGCTGTCATTCTTTTTCCCAGGGGGCTGGTTTAGGCAGAAATAGAAGCATCTTTACAACTACTACCCAATAGGGCTAGCATCAAATCCAGGCTGGGGAGATACAGAAACCCGGTTCTCTTTCCCTAGCATCAGCTTTAAGTTGTATTTATTGGAGAAACAACTCAGGATATTTGGGTAAGACTGTGGGTAGTCTAGGTCAGATATCTGATCAGTTGGCTTGGAACTGTCAGGGAGAGATCACCAATACAATAAGCTAGACGTGACCATACTCTTAAGGGCATCCTTCCCATAAAAGTCCAAAATCCTTCTATTAGAAAAAACTAGCACTAACAATCTTTAGCTGGAATACTGCATGGAATTAGAGCTGCTAAGCCATAAACAACGTATAGAGTAACAAAACATGGAGTGAACACCATGAGGACAAACTAAAAGGATGAGAGTCTCTTCAATAGATAATGGCCAATGACCAAGGCTGAGAGATTATATAAACAAAGTCTACAGAATTACACAGGCTATGGACAGGGTAGACAGGATGAACAGACTGATTTAATTTTTTAAAATATCCACTGAATGCCCAGTGAATATTTCACTATAGCCTTTCAAATAGCCAAGACGGATGAGGGTAAGGGCATTCGTTTTTATATCCACACAGGTCCTGTGGGAGATAAAAAAAAAATTATATAAGGCAAAGTCCCTGCCAACAAATAATGAACAATTTGAGATTACTCACATAAAAATGAAACAAAATCCAACAATGTAGGAAATTCTAAAAGGTTACAACACATGAGTGCTTAGAGTCAGAGATGGGGGAAAAAATCTGTTTAAAATGGTCAGAGAATAATTACAAAAAAGATGGAAATAGAGTTGCATCTTAAAGGGAAGCCAGGATTTGGAAAAAGTAGAATACAGAAGAAATTCCGGGGGAGAAGAATGGCATATTACCATCTTAAATTCATATGGCACTTTTAGCCACAATGGCTTAGAGATGGAATTGTCTATGCATTACTCAGGAAAAAGACAATCCCAGCAAGAGCAATTTTCACATAGGGGAATGTAGACAAATAAGTAAGCTGAGAATAGCATCATTAAAAACCCTGCGTGCTAGGCTAAAGAGTATTATTTCTCAAAGGACGGTCTATTTATCAACAGTATCAAATATGGAGTTCTTATTAAAAATGGTAACCCTGGGCCTTAGGTCATACTCACTGACTGTAAATCTGGTCAGCATACCTCCAAGGTGATTCTTATTCACACTAAAGTTGGAGAATCACTGGTTTAAGACTTGATACTTTATGTTACAGGCTTCTGACCACAATATATAAAGGTAGGGTTTACAGCCACATCAGTCTTTCTAATGCAGAATGGATTAACTAAGCCTGTAGAAAGGGAGACCAATTCACAGGCTACCTCCAAAAGACAAATCATAAAGAAAAGACACTATGCAATATATATATGACAAATGGTTAAAATATTGTAATAAAAAGCTCTTCTAAATCAATAAAAATACTTTAATAAATAGGCTAAGAATAAAAAGATGTTCAAATGATCAATAAATATATGACAGCGGACAAATTCGTTAGAAATTTAAAAATTCAGTTTAATCAAAACATTATGCTTGGCCTTTCAAAACAGCCAAGATTGGTGAGAGCATGAAGGAGCACGTTGTATAATTTGGCAAACTCTCTAGAAAAAGAAATATGAACCTGTAGCAAGAAATAAGAGTTCACATGCTTTAACTTAAAAATGCTTCTTCCTGGAGTGTATTTTCAGGAAATAATCAGTGGCAAAGATTTAGAAACAAAGATTTTTTTTTTAATTATAATTTTACAGCTAAATAATGGGGACTAATTTCCTACAGAGATTACCATCTTTATACTTTTCTGCATTTTTCAGTTTTTTGTTATTTTATAAAAACACTCAAAGTTTTTGACCTTCAAAAATTAGAATATTCTGGATCATGGTAAACGCTGACCACCAAACACATCTGGTACAAATATCAAAGCAGGCACTGGCCTGGTGGTTAACTGGACTCAGTATCATGTTTACGTAGTTAACTATGAGCACAAATGAACTGTTCATCACTCATATCACTTCCTTTCTATATATACAACGTATAATTATCCTATGAATAACCAGTACTATGACGTTAAGCCTTAGGGTTTTTTGTATTTATTAATAGTGGGGTACAGATGGTTTTTTTTAGTGTACTGTACATTAATTATTAATTATCTCTGGTCTCTGAAATCCTGTCATAAACCTTCCCCCTTCCCCTTATATAACAATGCGTATGAAGCATGATTTGTCTGCACTGACTACAAATAAGCTGTTTGGCAGAACAAGTCTGTTAACGTGGAGAAGGAAAGAAATTACATACTGTTTTTTAAAGTAACCCCAGCTGGCTAATTTAGAAAGCAATCTGGTAAACAGTCCCAATGGAACATCTGCACAAAACGAGAAAACAGAACCAACAAAACAAACGAAAAAGGGAAATTAATGAAAGAGTGAAAACTTACCTAGCCTTTCTTTAATCATTTAGAACTTTAAGATTCCTTTAATTCTATATAAATATATTACCTCCAAATTGTACACTGGTAAGAATACAATAAAACAGCACACATGCTGTTGCAAGTTTTTATTGAGGCCATTTCCCAAATTACTAGCTACTACCTATGCAAAAGAATAGTTCTTAAATAAAGCCAGCTTCTAAAAATCCCAAACATATCCCTTGGCCTCATCTACAAATATAACCTGTACGACATGGTATAAGTGACTAATAATACATGCTGCTTTTCTCTGTTGGAATAACTCCTCCCCTATAAAACCCTACCTTATTTCTGAAACAATGAGCACTACAACATACCCATCTCCCTCCTACATACAAGTTAAAGGTACTCATTGGGCATTCTATCACTATTACTTAACTTTTTGTGTGTCATCTCCCTAATCACGTTACTGGCAGTTGGGACTCACCATGTTATTTAATACATTTCACATTCACTTACTGATCAACTGTCTCCTACCACTCCCAGGCAGACAGACATACATAAGGATAAGAACTTTGTTTTATTTACAGCTGTAGCCTCAGCGCCTATCTAAAATAAGTACTCAAATATTTTCTAAACGAATATTTGTTGACTGAATTATAAAACAATTTGACAGATGAAAGCTATATAAGCAAATGACAAATCATTTAAAACTATTAGAGCTAAAATGCTAGTAGTTCAAGAGTTAATTTACCAATCAGATTCTTTAAACTGGTGATGTGGTTTACAATGCCTGTTCTCTTGTGTGCTACTATGAGATCTCCTCTTCCGCTTGTGACTTCCACGATAGCTTTCATGTCCCCAGCTTTCTCTGCTATCCCAATCAGGACAGTGAGTTCTTTTGGAATGCCGCATCTGTTGATAGAAATGAAAAGGGAATTGTGGAGGTTACAGATGTGTGATAGGTAAATTATTATATATTAATATTATTTAAGTTATCAAAACCCAACACACAGGGTCTTACAGGCTCCAAAATCTTTTTAGGTGGTAATGCTTCCCAAGGCACTGGTATGTCAGATGACTGCTAAGAGGCATAGAGATCTAGTATTAAATTGTGGGTAATACTGATACCTTAAGACATTTTTTTTTTTTGAATTCTGATTACAGCCAGGACAAATTCTCAGCTTGGTGCTTGTCTTCAACTAACACTTGCTAACTGCCTTTTTAAAAATTAAAAAAAAGCCGGGGGGGGCAAATAAAAAGGTTCAGGCCTAGTGTTTCCAGCAGACAAGAGTATTTAGCTAAAAATTAGTAACGTTTTTATTTATCTTATTTTGTTACTTTCTACTTATTAGTGATTTTCCAATTAAGTTATTGACATATTTTCTTTTAAAAATGTTAACATTAAAATGTGAGCTGATTTAAGGAGAAATAATATCAGTGTCATGCAGCTTTGGCAAAGTACTGTAATACAAATAACTGAAGTGCAAGACAAAAACACTTAGGGATACTAAATATGGGAGGTGACTTTGTTTTAATGGTAAAGAGCTATTCAATGATGAAGCTTCTTTTTCTCAAATTCTCCATAGTTCTTTTCTCTAAATCTCAGAATGACTCTAAGCTTTGAGAATATTAGTTCTGTGTGGATAGAACACAATATTCAACAGAGAAACTGAAGAGATATAAAAAGGTGATTTTAGGCCGGGTACGGTGGCTCATGCCTGTAATCCCAGAATTTTGGGAGGCCAAGCCCAGGAGTCTGAGACCAGCCTGCGCTACACATAGTGAAACTGTCTCTACAAAAAAAATTTTTTTAAATGTTTATGTGATTTTATGAACTCATTTTCTCTATCCAACAAGTTCATTTTCTTATCCAGCAGTTATTCTTAACCTTAAAATCTATTTGTAGTAAATCTGGAGTAACTCTGAAAAAGAACTCAACCTACAAGGATGCACACTGAAGCATGGTCACAGTGAAAGCAAACGATAACGGTGACAGCTGACTTTATTTACAAACTCCAGTGCATAACCTGGGTTCCTTCCAGGCTCAGCATCTGCGCTCAAACAATATAACCCCTATCTGTCTCTCCCCATCTTAATTATTTTCCAAAACAGTTAAGTTTTAACAGTCAGGTCCAAATTCTCCTAAACAGGGTGAGTTTAAATGGTAAAAAGAGAAGAATTTCACAATTCAGCAAGGAGCTGAAAAAAGCTAAAATGGAGTAAAACCCACTCAGTTAACCTCATTCAGCTTGCCCAAATGACTAATAAGCAAACAAATGCAAGCAGAAATTTAAATGATTTTAAATGGATTAAAGGTTTTGGAGTGAGGCAGCTTCAATTCTTCTGGGAGGTATTCCACAAGAAAGTATGTGTCACGCCATCAGAGTCTGATTGCCACCAGATAGTCAGATATTTTAATTCACTCTCTTGCTGATTCTAATTCTATACCCATCAAGCATCCTTCTAAGGTGGCTCTCAGCTCACTTTACAGAGGAAGAGAAGGCACTGATCAGGCCAAACAGCAATTCTAAAACTCTTGTTAGCGTCTCAATGGAAGTGAGCATTCCGGTTTGATACAAATGGAGTCACTTCCATATGGGAACGTGACATGAATAACAGCACACATTTACTTGAGGCAAAAGGCCAAAACACAAACTTTCTTCATTAGAGCTATCAAGAAAAATTTATGGCTGGACGCAGTGGCGCCTCATCCCTTGAGCCCAGGAATTCGAGACTGGCCTGGGCAACACGGCGAAACCCTGCCTTTACAAAAAATACAAAAAATTAGCCGCACATGGTGACTCGAGCCTGTAGTCCCACCTACTGGGACAATCACTGGAGCCCAAGGAAGTCAAGGCTGCAGTGAGCCATGATCACGCCATTGCATACCAGTATGGGCGACAGTGAGACCCTGTCTCAAAAAAAAAAAAAAAAAAAAAAAGAAAATGTGTATTTCAAGTGCAGTTCTTCTGAAGCGTTCCGTCAAATACCAAAGTTGTATTTTAACCACATCAGGAACTCAGCTTGGTTAAGCATTTTTAAATCATAGCAAGCAAAATCACATCTGATGACCGAGCGTTATTATTATGACCCTCCATTACTATGAAGTTTTTTTCAAGACTTATGTATCTTCTTCAGTTTTGTTTTTTCCTCTTCTACTGTAAGTCTGCTTACAACCAGCTAACCTCCAGCAAAACAGAACTCTCAAATTATCAGTTAATATGCAAACATTAAAATAAGAACGAGCTCCGTTGTGAGAGTCCAAAATTCTTCTCAAGTTCACTACTTCAAATGTAATTCAGCTGTTAGTCCCAGCCTCTGACCTCCCCCACTCACCCTGCAATGTTCAAAAATATTTTATCTGGAGGCACAAAGATCACCCGACCCACGTTCTACGTGGTAAGGTTCCTTCGCATACATAAAAAAGAAAAGCTATCTAGAATCATGACACTGCCTCTAATAAAGCATCCCACATGCTAGAGTAGGTATCTTTCAAAAAATAATGACACAATGGATCTCATATGTAGATCCATCGCCACTGCCCTTAAGATCCTGTAGTTCTTGACAACTTTACGCTACGTACATGGCTTAAAAACATCGAAACAGGTTATAAGTTTAGGATTGGATGGCTCCAAGAGGACTGCATTTAATGGGTTACAAGCCTGTAGGGGTGTGTAAAAAGCACAATCGCACAGGACAGCTATGAGGCAAGACAAAGTGGCTGGCGAGTTCAGTTTGCGGGGCGGTTTCCTAAGGATCGGATAAGCCTATCTGGACTATTTAGGCAACCAGGGATAATAAGATGCAAAACCACCAGAAACGCAGGTTCGCTGCAACAATGTTGTGTTCAGCATAGCACAGAGGACTAGCCTCCGCAAATTTCCACCTCTCACAAGCAGCTACTGCCCTCAACCACCTGGATTTGCACGGACGCCCGGTCCCCACCTCCCGGCTCCTGGGCACCCGGCCAGTGCCTTTGGCGCACTCAAGACAGGGGCAAATGCTTGACTCTGGAAAACCCCCGAAACGCTACAAACGGCCCAGGCCAGGAATCCAGGGGAAGACTTGATCTCCGACAACACGAATGCCAGAGACGGCTCTCGAAGGGTCTCCCGACAGGTCCTAGCGCCCGCCGGCTGGAAGAGGTCCCGACAGGGTTAACCAACAGCCGCGCTCGCCAGGCAGCAGGGGACCGCGAGCCCACGGCCTCCGGAGCCGCGACGCGAGCGGCCAGGGCCCTCAGAGAAGGGTCAGCGGCAGAACCGCGACGCCCGAGCAACTTTCGGTGCTGCCGGCGTGCACCAGCCGAGCAGCGCCTCGCAGAACTCCCAACTCAGCTCCAGAAGCCCAGGCCCCTAACGCGGTCGTTTCTCCGACACCTGGCTCGGAGACCTAAAGACCGACAGCCGCCTGTCCCAGCACACACCATCTGCAACCCTACCTCCGCAAAAGCAAATGGCCCTTCGGCCGAGAAATGTCGCCAAACTGCCGTCTTCCCTCCTCGGCCGCTGCGACAAACACCCCACAAAATGGCGGCAGCGCCGTCGCCCTAGAATCCCCCGAGTCGCCTCTAGCACCACCTACGCCGCGCGAACGCGCCTGCGTGACAGAACCTTGCGCGCTCCCGCCGCTCCACCTAAGGGCGGGGCTCCACGTGACGTAAGAGCGGGGCTCGAGCCTCCACACTGCGGCTGCGCGGCCCAAGCATTTCCACCCCCCCCCCCCCGCCCACCCGGTCCCGGGGCCTCTAGGCCGGGAGGGTGTTTACGTTCTCTACGGGCTCGGGTGGAACCGGGAAGGAACGCCCGTGTCCCGCCCTCAGTGTGTACCGCGTGTCTGCCCCCTCCCCCGGGACCTCAACTCCCGCAGCCGGCACCCGACAACGGCCCCAAAACCGCCTAGGGCGGGCCTTGGCTGGTCCCTGGGCTGTTCCCTGGACTGGGTGCTTGTCCTGCCCACTTGGCGCTTCCAGTCTAAGGTGGATTCGGACAAAGAGGCTGTCTCAGAAAACAAGCTCAAGGGGTGCTAATCTTTTCAAGGCACGTGCTCCTATTCAGAACAAAACAAAAACCCGGAGGTTTCAATGGAGACTCCTGACAAGGTTTTCCTGTTAGGATCCCTACCTCCTGAGCAGTTAAGGTCGCTGGAAGTTTCCCTAACGAAGTTTTCCCCATTTTTTTTTGTCCCTGCGGGCTGATTTTATTCAAGGCTGAAAAATGTCTCTGAGCTAGTGATAGTCCGTTATGGGGCTTGCTTACCTCAAATAAGGTATTCTGCAGTTCTGAGGACCCTCAGGCAGTTCCCCCGTGTAAGTATGTAACATGAGAAATATTAGGGTCAAAGTCGGAGCCCTGTGGGGAACACTCAAGGGCCAGAGGGAAAGGGGCCTGAGAAGGAATGATCAGCAGAGGAGGAGAACCAAGAATAGGGTGTCAAAGCAAGGAAGGGCGTAAGTGAGGGAAAGGGTTTAGGTGAGACTGAAGATCGTGGGGGGGGACGGCGGGCGGGGTGGGGGTTGGCTTCTGTATTCTGACGGGGATTCGCTGGATAAAAGGGAAAGCTAGAAATCAAATTTGGGAGGGTAGGGTTGAACTCTTGCGGGTATTAGCCCAGTAGCATGTGGGAGACCTGTTATCCTGTTAGGTGAAAGGAGGGAACGGAAATACCTTTAGTGATCTAACATGATAGAAACTTGTGCCATCTGGTTTGGGTAAGTAGGGTAAATTTAGATAAATCTCGGAGATTGTACAGCATTTCAAAAAGTAAGTTGAATTTTCATGGAGATTGCACTCCAAGAAGCGAAGTTGAAAAGAAACTTGGAAAACTGGAAGGGTAAACTCTTTATGCTACAGAATGAAACAAATGATATTATTTTCATCTAGAATAGCCACCATTTTTGCATCTACAAATTTAAATCTTACTCATCCTTGAAAGGCCATTTCTTTAAGATGCTGTCTCTGACATGAGTTCCCACCCATTTCCCGGCTCCTGACTACTCCAGTTAGATGTGAAGTCCTCAAATAGTGGAGTATTTGGAGCCACCTGGTATGCTAACAGATTTTGCCCAAAGAGTGAAATGTATTGGTTCTACAATTGATTACACATCCCGTCTCAAGGGAATCTATTAGATAGAATGTTGAGCTGACTGGTCTGGGCGATAATACAAGGTAGAGTGGGGCTCAAATTGCAGCATATGAGAATGTAAATTCAAGCTGGCACCAAAGAATGTTCTCCTGTTTCATGGAGTAGGAGAGATCCTGCCTCCTGGGGTTATAAGAAAGTGTGGTCAGGACAGCCCACAATTCTGCTCAAAAAAGCAACACTATGTTAAAAAGCAGCCACTTGAAATGCCACCTACAGAGGCCTTTATATTATAGACGTCACACACACTGTTACCCAATAGTAGAGTCTGCTTTGTAATTACATTCATCTCGCTTTAGTGTTTTAATTTGTATGCCACCAAAAGGTCTAATGTTTAAAAGTGTGTAGTGATCAGAAGGAAGCTGAGAATGACTAGCACCTCTATGCTATGTGATGCAGCACTATGGTGCCCCTAGTCACTCTCTGTGGCTTTGTGCTGAGTTTGGAGACAAGGACCTGATTTATATTGTCTTTGGTATCTCAGGCCTAGAACCCAGTAAATATTTGTAGGTTGTTTACATAAGCTGCTTTGGGCCATTTTGCTCAGTTGGTTTAAGGTCAAAGTGAGTAAGTTAAAGGTAGACATTTCATCCCAGCATCACTGCACCAGTTAGCTTACCACCCTTTCGTGGCAGCCTCAACCCTTCCTATTAAGTCAGTTACCTGGCAAGACTTAATGAAAAGGTTTATCTAAATTTCTGAGAATCTACTACCAATACCAGAAACACTGCCTAATCCAGTGGTTTCATCTCTACACAAGAACAGTATGTCCAAAAAAACCTTTGAGTTAACTGATGTGTCCAAGCAGCTAGTCAAAGGCTGGGCACAGTGGCTCACGCCTGTAATCTCAGGTTGCAGGCAGAGGTGGGTGGATCACTTGAGCCTGGGATTTCAAGACTAGCCTGGCCAACATGGTGAAATCCCATCTCTACAAAAAATACAGAAAAAAAATTGGCTGGACATGGTGGTGCATGGCTGTGGTCCCAGCTACTCGGGAGGCTGAGGTGGGAGGATGGTTTGAGCCCAGGAGGCAGAGGTTGCAGTGAGCCAAGATCGTGCAACTGCACTCCAGCCTGGGTGACAGAGCCAAACCCTGTCTCAAAAGCAAAAACAAAAAGAACTAGTTTAAGAATTTTTTTGGCTGGGCACGGTGGCTCACGCCTGTAATCCCAGCACTTTGGGAGACCGAGGCAGGCGGATCATGAGGTCAGGAGTTCGAGACCAGCCTGGCCAATATGGTGAAACCCCGTCTCTACTAAAAATACAAAAATTAGCTGGGCATGGTGGCGGGTGCCTGTACCCCCAGCTACTTAGGAGGCTGAGGCAGAAGAATCGCTTGAACCCAGGAGGCGGGGCTGCAGTGAGCTGAGATCGTGCCGCTGCACTCCAGCCTGGGTAACAGTAAGACTCTGTCTCAAAAAAAAAAAAAAAAGAAATTTTTAGCTTTGAAGAGCAACCAAAGGAATATTCTTATCACATATTCTAGGATATGTATACGACATGCTTAACTTCAGACATCAAAAACACTCATATATGAGAGCCAGGTTTTAGAGTAAAAGTCTAAATTATTGTGTAAATTAAACAAAAGCTTATTACCGTATAGAGTAACCTTTACAAAGGTATAAACCTTTGCAGTTATAGCCTCTGTTATTAGCTGCTGGTTACTGATACTTACTAATTAGACTTGCTTTTAGCTATCAAATGCTCATTCTATGCTAACCACTTCATATACATGATCTCATTTAATCATCTGAATCCTATCAAGTGATCATTGGTTATCTGCCCTAGATCAGTTATCAAGTCCCAGAATCAGGATTCAGACCCAGATCTTGCTTGCTCCAAAGCTCTTGCATTTAATCCTTTCTACTGACTGCTTCAACTTACACAACAAAGTACGTGGCAACTTACTTCACTTAGTCATTAGAGCAAACATGCTGAGTCCATCTTTCAGCAAGATCAAAGGTGTGTCTTAAAAAACCACTCTCCAAGGTAATATATCATTGAAGGCTTTTCACGATGACACAATGGATCTGTTTATCTCCAGCACATCAAGGTCACTAAAAGTCTCAGTGCCTTATTTGCTATTTAACACTGAGTCACAAAGGGTCTCCCAGGCATCCCACACTGTCCCAGATGAGTAACATCCCAGCTGCCTCCAGTGTTTCCTGATCTATAAAGCAAGATTCAGTGGCACCAAACGGTGCTAGAAGCATTCTCTGGTTCACAGCACACTTCGCAGTGTACATGTGAGGTGGGGAGTGGAAGGGTCCAGGGAGGGATTTAGCTCAGAGGTTGTGTAGGGGAATATGATAGGCTGGTCTTTCCAGCCTCCTTGTCAGTTTCTGCTACCACCAAGGAAAGGGTCTCAGAGCTGAGTCACAGCCGAATGTGCCTTTTGGATACAACTGCCACACAGACTGCAGTAACCTTCAGGACTTCTCATGCTATTGGTTCTAGAAACTGTAGCATATCAACAATTTAACATATGTCCTGCCATTTCATGCCCAAACGCCCTTGAAAGAGGAAGTAACAATTTAAGCAGACTCAGTAATGGGTTCTTAGCTGCAGTGGGTTAGCCATATCATCCCTCTCCATTGATATAGAAAATCAGGAATTGAACTGAGATTTGTTTCTGTCAACTTCAATTATTGGCTTGATGTGGAGTCCCTGGGTTTCAGAGCAGTCCCTAAAATGTCTTATTGATTTCCTAATGTCTGTCACTTATTACCCTATGTCATTGTACCCCAACACTGATCTGATTCAAATCACATTGAAAAAATTTTCCCAGATGTGTTTTCTCTGACGAATCTACTTAGTGATTTTCCCCCAGCATTTAAACCTTCTTATAAAAGTCTCCTGGTTGACTGTGTTATCATTGTAGATCAGATATCAGACTAAAGACTGTGATTGTCTTGGACAATCTATAGGTCTGTGTTGGACAAGCCTGGATATACAGAGACATTTGCAAGAGCAGGCTGGAGTGCAGTGGCGCGATCTCGGCTCACTGCAAGCTCTGCTTCCTGGGTTCATGCCATTCTCCTGCCTCAGCCTCCCAAGTAGCTGGGACTACTGGGACTACAGGCGCCCGCCACCATGCCCAGCTAATTTTTTGTATTTTTTTTAGTAAAGACGGGGTTTCACCGTGTTAGCCAGGATGGTCTCGATTTCCTGACCTCGTGATCCGCCCGCCTCGGCCTCCCAAAGTGCTGGGATTACAGGCGTGAGCCACCGCGCCCAGCTTTAGAGGCCATTTCTCATTCACATTAGTAAATTAGGGTTTACTATTCAACCATCCAATGAAACCATTAAAGAGAAAGTATATTTACCTAAATCCTAAATATTTAAGGAACATTGTAGAATCCTACATAAAAGTATGAAAATATGTAACATATTTGTCTCTCAATCTTCTAGGGTTACTCTTTATTTTAATGTATAAATATCAATGTCCTATTTCATGTAATTATAGGAAGTACAGCATCCTTCAGAGTATTCTGATGACTTCTGGAGAGGCTATTAACTTTTCTGGTAGCCCCCATCACGGCTTACTCTGATTTCTGTTCTGGTTCCATCTCTCAGTTCCCCTATACTATCTCATCTGCAATTGCTGTCCTTACTTCATAAAGTTTTGTGCCAACTATGGACACAGATCCTTTGTCCTTTATTTCCCAAAGCCTATTAATACATAGCTTTAATGAGGAATAGGCTTAAAACTTTGAGGATGCAAGAGTCTCCTTGTATTAGTCCGTTTTCATACTGCTATAAAGAACTTCCTGGAAACTAGGTAATTTATAAAGGAAAGAAGTTTGACTCACAGTTCTGCGTGGCTGGGAAGGCCTCATGGCAGAAGAGGAAGCAGGCACCTTCCTCACAAGGCAACAGGGGAGAGAAGTGTGTGTGAAAGAGGAATTGTCAAACACTTATAAAGGCATCAGATCTCGTGAGAACTCACTTGCTATCAGGAGAACAGCATGGGGGAAACCACTCCCATGATCCAATCACCTCCCACCTGGTCCCTCTCTCAACACGTGGGGATTAAGGGGATTAAAATTTGGGATGAGATTTGGGTGAGGACCCAGAGCCAGCCATGTCATCCCATTTATCCTCGGTTTCACCTCACATGGTTTTAGTTACCCGCAGTCAACTGCAGTCAGAAAATATTAAATGGACAATTCCAGAAATAAAACCTCATATGTTTTAAATTGCACACTGTCGGGAGTAGTTTCGTGAAATCTTGCACTGCCTGGCTCCCTCCTGCCCGTGTGGTGAATCCTCCCTTTGTCCGGTGTATCCCTGCTGTATCCCCTACCTGACAGTCACGTAGTAGCCATCTGGGTTGTCAGATCCACTGGGAGGATATCACAGTGCTTGTGTTCAAGTACCCCTTATTCATAATAATTCTTGCCCCAATGCACGACAGTAGTGATGCTGGCAATTTGGGTATGCCAAAGAGAGGCTGCAAAGTGCTTCGTTAAAGTGGAAAGGTGAAAGTTCTCGACTTAAGGAAAGAAAGTAAAATCATATCCTGAGATTGCCAAGATCTACAACGAGAGCAAGTCTTCTATTTGTAAAATTGTGAAGGAAAAAGAAATTCATGCTAGTTTTGCTATTGTACCTCAAACTGCATAAGTTATAGCCACAGTGCCTGATGAGTGCTTAGTGAAGATGGAAAAGGGATTACATTTGTGGGTGGGAGACATGAACAGAAACGTATTCCAATCGATGCCAACTGAGTTCAGTACTGTCTGTGGTTTCAGGCACCCACTGGGGGTCTTGGAACATATCACTGACGATAAGAGGGGACTGAGATACTGGAGGGTGGGTACAGCACAGAAGTGAAAACAGCTTAAAATTTAGTATCAGAATTCACAATTCTGAAGGTGCCAAATCATTCCCCATTAAATAGGGTCATCTCTTACTGGCCTTTCTCTCCTTAGGTCCCAACCAACCAAGTTCCTTTGAATCATTCTCAAATTTTCTTTCAAGAACTCTCTCCTTTTGGCTGGGCATGGTGGTTCCCGCCTGTTAATTCCAGCACTTTGGGAGGCCGAGGCAGGCAGATTGCTTGATTCCAGGAGTTTGAGACCAGCCTGGCCAACATGACAAAATCCTGTCTTTACTAAAATTAGAAAAATTAGCCAGACATGGTGGTACACACCTGTAATCCCAGCTACATCAGGAGGCTGAGGCACAAGAATTGCTTGAACCCAGGAGGCAGAGGTTGCAGTGAGCCGAGATGGTACCACTGCACTCCAGCTGACCGACAGACTCCCTCCTTCCTTCCTTCTTTCCTTCTGTATTTATTGGGCACTTACGTATGCCACATACTGTTCTAGACGCTAAAGATACAAAAGTATATAAGACAAAGTGCCTATCGCCATGGAGGTTAGGATGTAGTGGGAGAGAGAAAAAAATGGAAATAAATAAAATACTTCAATGTTTTACATGTGCTATGAAAGAAACAAACTAGAGACTGAAAGAATAACTGAGGATGGCTTATTTTAGGTGGGCTGCTCAGAAAAGGGCTCTTGGCAGCTGTAACGTTTTAGTTGAAGCTAAAGGAAAAGGGGAAGCCAGACATGTGAAGGATGGGATAAAAACCTCCTGCGAGTCTCATTGAACTCCATGAGGAAATTGTGAGCATGCTCATGGAAGTTTTGTTTGTCATAGGAAGAAAAACTTGGAAACAAAGTAGAGATCCATCATTAGGGGAATGAATAACTAGAAAATATATATGGATACTGCATATCGGTTAAAAGCTATGAACTAGATTTATGTATAGCATATGAACAGACCTAAGAAACTTAATGTTGAGTGGAGAAAAAAACTCGCGATTTACAAAACCATTTTTGCGGATATTTAAAAACCCACAACTACCCTACATATTTTCAAGGCCACGTGTACGACTGAGTAAGTGACTTGAGGAAAGATTGGAAGGACAATATATGAAACACACTGGAGATGTGCTTCTCAGAGGTCTGAACTTGGAATAGGAGACCACTGAGGCTCGGCATTCCGTTTCCTCTGCAGCTTTGCCACCCGACAGCTAAATCCTTGGTCTGATTTTCAACACAATGTTCCCTATGGCCGCAACAGGCCTTCTGTCTCTACAATGTGCTTTAACTTACAATTGACTGACCTGAGCTTGTCATTTTCCTTCTTCAAAGTTTTTTGTTTGTTTGTTTGTTTGAGACGGAGTTTCACTCTGTCACCCAGGCTGGAGTGCAGTGGCATGATCTCGGCTCACTGCAACCTCTGCCTCCTGGGTTCAAGCAATTCTCTTGCCTCAGCCTCCTGAGTATCTGGGACTACAGGCATGCACCACCACGCCCAGCTAATTTTTTTGCATTTTTAGTAGAGACAGAGTTTCACCATGTTGGTCAGGCTGGTCTCGAACTCCTGACCTCAAATGATCTGCCCACCTTGGCCTCTCAAAGTGCTGGGATTACATGTGTGAGCCACTGAGCCTGGCCTCAAAGTTTTAAAAATAACCAAAAGCAGACAACTCTTACACAATTCTTATAATTGCCATTGCCCCCATGCTATTCGAGTGCCTCCAGCTACTGCATCAGCCAATGTTTCACCTCCACCTGGAACTCATTCCAGTTCACCACCAGTGAGAGTTTTTCTAGATCCAAGGGCTATATTCTTTTTCCTATTTTACCACCTTGTCTCCCTTAGAAGTAATGATAATGGGCATCCTTGCCTTATCACTGTTTGCGAAGGGAATTCTTCTAATACCTACAGGTCATATTTGGCAGGCTTCCAAATTAACCTGCCTGGGGAGGACTTGTGGTTCCTGATGAACTTCTGTCCTGAGCAAAGAATCTTCTTGTGAGTTCCTCAGATTCTTGACATACTAATTAATGCATAACCCACTGACGTTGAACAAGACACTGATTTGTTTCTGAATCCTGAAGTTTTACTGATTGTCCTGCACGTAGAACATTGTAGCCTGCATGCAGTCATCTGTAGCCAATGATTGTAATCTCTATACTGTACCCTCCAATGCAGAGGGTACAACTCCTCTGGGAAGGAGTCCACTCCCTTCTCCTAAACTTTCTTATAAAAGCCTTCCACCTTGTAGCACACTCTAGAATGTGCCAGCCTTCTTGGTGTGTCTTCCCAGGTCAATCCTCACATTTGGCTTCCAATAAAACTTTATCAAATCAGCCTTAGTTTTGGTAACACTTTCAAGATTTTAGTTAAGTTTGATGTTATAACTTTTCTTCTCAGTATGTTGTGGAAATATGTTCACCCCAATAAATATTTATACACAGTCAATCCTGTTTTTTTTTTTTTTTTTTTTTGAGACAGAGTCTTGCTCGTCGCCCAGGCTGGAGTGCAGCGGCGCGATCTCAGCTCACTGCAAGCTCCGCCTCTTAGGTTCATGCCATTCTCCTGCCTCAGCCTCCCGGGTAGCTGGGACTACAGGCACCGGCCACCACGCCCGGCTAATTTTTTGTATTTTTAGTAGAGACGGGTTTCATCTTGTTGGCCAGGATGGTCTCGATCTCTTGACCTCATGATCTGCCCGCCTCAGCCTCCCAAAGTGCTGGGATTACAGGTGTGAGCCACGGTGCCCGGCCTCCTATCTGAAATAAATTCTAAGTATCTAAGTGCTCTCTCTTTAATTGTATTTCCCTGATGATTTGGCTCTCCTTAACAGTTCCTAGTTTTGCAGAATTTGCTTATAAAATTCCTTGCAGTTACAATCTACGTTCCATTTGCATTGTTACATAGTTTCTACAGTGGTCGTATCAACTTGTTTCATTCTCTTGTCTATTAACTCATTAATGAGAAAATACTCTCAACATTAATATGAGCTATATATGTATACACACATATACAGCTATATATCCATACTGCATATATATTGAACATCTGTTATCATAAAATTAATAACTGAAAACTGATCTTCCAATTTGATCCATTGAAGCACATAATACCATCTTTCAAGGAATAACTTTCCATTCTTCAGTATTATTTTACATCTCTTGATCAAAATCTATGTAAAAGAATAAAATTCTTCAAAACCCACTTCAAAAGATAGCAGTGGCAAGTGTCATAAAAATCATCCATTACAATTCAGAATTTATTTTTATTTTATTTATTTTATTTTTTTGAGACGGAGTCTTGCTCTGTTGCCCAGGCTGGAGTGCAGTGGCAAGATCTCGGCTCACTGCAAGCTCCGCCTCCCAGGTTCATGCCATTCTCCTGCCTCAGCCTCCCAAGTAGCTGGGACTACAGGCACCTGCCACCACGCCTGGCTAATTTTTTGTATTTTTAGTAGAGACGGGGTTTCACCGTGTTAGCCAGGATGATCTCGATCTCCTGACCTTGTGACCCGCCTGCCTCTGCCTCCCAAAGTGCTGGGATTATAGGCGTGAGCCGCCGTGCCCGGCCTTCTTTTTATTTTCTTTCTTTCTTTTTGAGACGGAGTCTCACTCTGTCGCCCAGGCTGGAGTGCAGTGGCATGGTTTTGGCTCATTGCAACCTCCACCTCCTGGGTTCAAGCAATTCTCTTGCCTCAGCCTCCCAAGTAGCTGGGATTGCAGACATGCACCACTACGCCTGGCTAATTTTTGCATTTTTAGTAGAGACGGGGTTTCACCGTGTTGGCCAGGCTGGTTTCGAACTCCCGACCTCAGGTGATTTGCCCACGTCAGCCTCCCAAAGTGCTGGGATTACAGACATGAGCTACCGCTCCCGGGCCAGAGTTTCTTTTTATTTTCACAAGCAAGGTTGTCCCTTTTAAGAATTGCTTGATACTTAAAGGGATGACCCTTTCATCAGCTCTTTCTTTAACACAAGATTAAACGATTTGAGCTGGCCAGGCTTCCACCCATTGCCCAGGGAACCTGTGTGTGGGTTGAGGAATGTGTTCAACGTTCAACAGGTTAACAAATCTGCCTCAGCTTTCACTTCCTGCTTGTACGGGGTGTCGAGGTCGGTCACATGCGAGTATAAACTGGGGCCTGTCTTGTTCCCTAGATCTCCCTTTTAAATGTTTTGCTGATTGCTTGCTTGCCCCAACTGTTATCACAGCCTTAGGAGATTCCATGCTCTGCCGGCCTCTGATTGCTACCAAATATTATTGTTTTCAAAAAACCAAGGAAACAGAGCTTTTCCTTGAAGCTCCAAATCATTTCAGCCCCTTTTGGCACCAGTAAGGCAGCCAGTCCCACCAACACTGCACCATGGAGCTGGGGCAAGGGCAGGGGGAAGTGAGAACGGGAGCAGTTCTAAGACGATGTGTCACACACTTTGTTGATCTTACTAAGGTTCAATAGTTTCTCTTGAATAAATGATTTTCAGCTTGTTGTATGCCTTTGCTTAATTTCCAGAGTTCCAAAGTAATTGTTTTTAGTAATTTGCTATTTATTTTTTAGTTGCTGCTTTTGGGAGAGAATGTGTAAAGGTCCTCTCTCTGTTCTTCTAGAAGCTCCCCATGGGTATAATTCAAAATTTTCTGTTTTAATTTAATCTAATATATCAAAAATATCATTTAAACATGTAATTTATATCAATATTGTTATTATTATTTTGTAGAGATGGGGTTTAACCATGTTGCCCAGGCTGGTCTTGAACTCCTGGGCTCAGGTGATCCATCTGCCTCTACCTCCCAAAGTGCTGGGATTACAGGCCTGAGCCACTGTGCCTGGCCTATATCAGTATTATTAATGAAGTATTTTGTTTTCTTTTTTTTTTTTTCGTACCAAGGTTTTATAATCTGATATATATTTTACACTTACAGCTCATCTCAATTTGAACCAGTTACATTTTCAGTGCCTAATAGCCACATTGGCTAGTGGCTACAAGATTGGACACACAGTTTTAACTGTTGCTAGAGTAAAGAAATGCTGCTGGTTTTTAGATATTAATCCTATGTGTTGTCACCTTGCTAAATTCTCTCGTCATGTCTAATTTCCTGTCTTTAAATTATTTGGGGCTTTCTAGGTAAAAGATTGTATCATCTGCAAATAATAATGGGCTTGTTTCACCTCTTGGTCTTTACACCTCTTATTTATTTTTCTTCTGTTACTGTGCTACCTAAGGCGACCAGTACAGCTACAAATGGAAGCAGTCATCGTGGGCAACATTGTCTTGTCAGAGCTTACAAGAAATATTGTTAACATTTTGCTGTTAAGAATGCTGTCCGTAACAGGTGTTGATAGCAACTTTTCATTAGATTGAGATGGTTCCTTTCCATTTCAAATTCATACACTCACATTCTTGGTGAGCATTTTATTTGCTTTTTATTCTTCTTTTGAGATGATTGCATGATTTTTATAGTAATATAAAATTACATTTAGAGTTTAACTTTAAGCTACTTTGTGGAAAAACCTTTTATATACTATACTTTTCTGGGTCATTGTTGCAATTTTTTAAAGGCTTTTTGTGTCTATGTCCATGAATGAGATTGGCCCCCACTCTTTATTCTCCTGTAATTCATTATCCATCCAGAAGTTGGAAAAGTCTTAGAAATACTGAACTCATTACTTCTCTACAGAAAGCTATCAAAATTTTCTAAGTTTATTTAAAACAAATTTAAAACCATTATTCCGGCCAACAAGGCCTTACAAAATCTGGTATATCTTATGCTATTCTCCATTTACCTTCAGCCTTTTTCAGTGCTACTCAATGTTTTTCTGGATAGCCTATCTAGTTCATTAAGACAAGAAAGATAAATAAATGAATTGCAGAAAAAAAACTGTTATTATTTGTGGATGTTATCATTGCATGTGTAGAAAATGGAAAATACATCTGTAATCCCAGCACTTTGGGAGGCCGAGGTGGGTGGATCACCTGAGGTCAGGAGTTCAAGACCAGCCTGTTCAACATGGTAAAACCCCGTCTCTAATAAAAATACAAAAATTAGCTGGGCCTGTTGGCGCGTGCCTGTAATTCCAGCTACTTGGGAGGCGGAGACAGGAGAATTGCTTGAACCCAGGAGGCGGACGTTGCAGTGAGCTGAGATCTCACCACTGCACTCCAGCTTGGGCGACAGAGCGAGGCTCCATCTCAAAAAAAAAAAAAAGAAAAAAGAAAATGCAAAATAAGGCCCAGCATGATGGCTTACTCCTATAATCCCAGCACTTTGGGAGGCCGAGGCGGGCAGATAGCTTAAGCTCAGGAATTTGAGATAAGCCTGAACAACATGGTGAAACAACATCTCTACAAAAAATACAAAAAAATTAGCTGGGCGTGGTGGCGCAGGCCTGTAGTCCCAGCTACTCGGGAGGCTGAGGTTTGAGAATCGCTTGAGCCTGGGAGGCAGAGGTTGCAGTGAGCCAAGATTGTGCCACTGCACTCTAGTCTGAGCAACAGAGCCAGACCCTGTCTCAATAAAAAAAAAAAAAAAAAGAAAGAAAAGAGAGAGAAAGAAAGAGAAAATGCACAACATAACCTGTAAATCATTAGCAAAGTTGATGGATATAAAATCAGTGTAAAAAAATCAAATATGTTTCTGTCAACAATATATCTTAGCAAAGTTTTATCATTTCTACCATTTTACCTTATGGTAAGAATGATAAAACTTTACTAAGAGATCTTCAGGAATACCTACATAAAGATACCAAATTCACTGGGTAAAAGACTCAATATTAAAAATACTGCCCCCTATTCTTTCCAAATTGATCCATTAGATCAATTATAAGCAAAATCCCAATGGGGCTTTTTGTAGAAACTGAGAAGCTGATTCTAAAAAAAAGTGATAAAACTACAAAGAGCCACGACTCGCCAAGTGACTTGAAGAAGAACAAGGCGAGAGCACATGCTCTAACAGAGATTGTAGTGAACCTATAGTGACTAAGACAGCATGATGTCGGCACAAGGATAGATAAGTAAACCAACAGAACAGAACAGAGAGCCCAGGAACAGATCTCCATACGCCGGGTGCCTCCGGAAAAGATTCCGAGACTCTGATATTTGTGGCACGAAGTTTCATAAGGAGTATTCTCAGGAAGAGCACCTTGAGGTGAGCACATGTGTTGCTTCAGCTGGTCCTCTCAGGAAATCTGGGTCTGAAGTCACCCTTCACAGTTATCCCAGTTGAGTTAGGAGGTCCCGATCTTTATATTCCAACGTTGACCAGTCATTAGAGGTAGGCTGACCCCAGGGAAGGCATGTAGCTTTGAGAAAGAAGCTTCCTTAGGTTGAGGGCAGTTTCTAGACAATGACTCATCTGTAAGCTGGCAACCAGAGCAGTGAGTGCACTGGTCCTGAAGTGGGATATGGGCGGCACAGCACCGTGTCCACTGCAGGCCACCCTTCCACTGCAGTAAGCCCTTGCCATCTGGAGCTACTCTTCCAGGTTTCTGGCTGGTCTCTTTTCCTGATGGGTTAATGGGATGAGGTTTGGCCCCTTCTGCTGCAGCTTGTTTCCAGGCCACAGCTGGTACCCACTGTCTCCCTCCACTTTCCAGCTTAGATTCTCTGCACCTGTGGCTAGCTCCTTTGCTGGTCTTGGCGGCTCATCTGGGAAGGTAACCCAGGCCCTCAACCCTGTGTGTTCTAAGCCTCTAGTCACCTCGTCCTTCTCAGGCCACGGCTTACTTTCTTGTCCATTTACTGTTAAGACTGGGAAAGAGGCTGGGCATGGAGGCTCATGGCTGTAATCCCAGCACTTTTGGAGGCCAAGGCAGGCAGATCACGAGCTCAGGAGTTCAAGACCAGCCTGGCCAACATGGTGAAACCCCATCTCTACTAAAGATACAAAAAAATTAGCCGGGCATGGTGGCACACACCTGTAATCCCAGCCACTCGGGAGGCTGAGGCAGAAGAATCACTTGAATTTAGGAAGCGGAGGTTGCAGTGAGTTGAGATCACCCCACTGCACTCCAGCCTGGGCGACAGGGCGAGACTCTGTCTCAAAAAAAAAAAAAAACAAAGGCTGGGAAAGAGGGTACCGAGATCACCCGAATGGGTTGCTCAGTGTCTCACTTATCCTTCGCATCCCCATGGTGTAACAGCAGTCCGGCCTCCTCCTGATCATCAGGGTTAGTCACCTCTGGCGGGATCTTGACTCTTTTTCTTGCCTTCTAATCTCTCGGCACAAGACGCTCAAATGAATGGGCAACAGGTCAGCTGTAGCTTGAAGTTTAATGGGACATTTTCTGTGTCTTTCTGCATCGTCCCTCTGAGACCTGAGACCTCTCAACCCACAGAGTGTAGAATTGTGGGGAAACAAAGCACAGACTCTCCTCGTGGTGTTTTTGCCACATCACAGATATCTCTAATACTGTAGGGTCTTCCAGATTTTATAGCCCAAGGGACAGGGCTGTGTACACCAAAGCTGAGACCTGCTCCGTAGTCATTTCCCGCTCTGGGTCTCAATCCCGAGTAGCTTCTCCTATGGTCATGGCTGGCCTCAGAGGACGGCCCCCACTGAGCTTCTCGGTTATGCTGGTGACCTTCTCATCGGCACTTTCCTTATCTCCTTGAAGGATGGAGCCTCTTCGAGGCCCTCTCACAAGGCAGAGTCAGCTGATGAGTAGAGCACACCCTCTAGCATATCTCCTTCTGGGTCTTATGTTCCCCTCATCTGCCATTTTCCACAGCATTTGCAGCATTTGCACTTCCTGCAGGGTGACAGGCACTTTCCCCAGGCTTCATCTGTAGCAGCACGTTAGCTTTGTCTCCCAGGGGCCTTGCCTCGGTGTTAGATCCTGTGTCACAGCAGAGGGCTCCCGTATCAATAAACTCGCCCTCCCAGGCTTCTGTTGCACAGCTCTCAATGAGCACCTTTGGGATCCAGCCCATGTTTCCTCTTTCAGCTCCTGCCAGTGCTGTGAAGCAAGTTCACTGTGCTCTAGTTACCACACTGTCTGAATCTGGTAAGACAGAACACCCACATATAAATTACATGAAGAGGGTTTGTTACTTACTCATAGGAAGCAAGGGACAACGGAAGCCCAGGATTCATTGGAAGCTAATCCCCAGGGCTCAGGAAAGCCCCCTGAGGTTGGATTGGAGTCTTGCTGTGGTGTGTATGCTCCACTTGGACTGCAGCCAAAGGGCCATGGAAGAAAGTGCAACCTGGGTTTTATGCCCCAGGGCAACATGACTCACTGGAATAAGGCATTGAAGGACATCCTGTTTCTGGGGTAGGGGGGACTGGAACAGAGCCCAGGCCTTTCCAGCCAGCTTCTCCTTATCTCACATTGTTGTGTTCCCAGCACATTCTATGGTTTTTCCTGAGAACTGCAAGTAAGAAAGAGGAGAGAACTGGGTTGGTCCAAGGCCATCTGCAGAACTGTCCTGCAAGTACTTGTTGGCAAGGTCCTGCAGTTCCTTTGCCTACGGTTCTTTCCTTCCCTTAAGAGGCCCAGCACTTGCCTGGCCAGATTATGTTGTAGCTTGACCCTAGTTACTGGTCTTGGGACTGGGGAAGAGGGGATTGATCCTGAGAAGGGTGCATGCTTTCCTTTAAAGCAGAAGCCTCCAGATCTTCTTTACATCTTCAAGCATGGAAGCAGCACTGACCTTTAACAGGGAAGAACGGGCCACTTCTGCAGACCCAGGAGGTTCAGAGCAATCTAATAATGCAAGATTTTTTAGTGCGTCAACACAGATATCCCTATTTCCAGTGTCAGGCTCCTATTCCTTCCCAATTAGGATCCTGACTTTGGCATAGTAAACCTACTGGAGTTGAGCATCCAACCTTCTCTGGAATTCTACTATTCTTATGTCTAAGTCCTGTGAGTACTTGCCATGTTCTCTTTCTTGGCTTAGTGATTGCTTTTGTATTTGTTTTATGAGTTTTCAACTCTATGTGCTATGGTTTGAAAGTTTTTGTCTCCTTCAAAGTTCATGTTGAAACTTAATACCCAAAGCAACAGTATGAAGAGGTGGAGCATTCAGGAGGTGATTAGGCCATGAGGGCTGTGCTCTCATGAATCGATTAGTGCCTTATTAAAGGGCTTGAGGGGATGAGTTCACCCCTTCTACCTGTTGTATCAAGTGAAGATGCAGCTTTTCTCACTTCCGAAGAAAACAGTGTCCATGCCGCCATCTTGAAAGCAGAGACCAGGTCCACACCAGGCACACCCAACCTGCCAGTACTTTGATCTTGGAATTTCCAACCTCCAGAATGGTGAGAAATAAATTTCTGTTATTTGTAAATTACCTAGTCTGTGGTATTTTCTTATAGCATCATAAATGGACTAAGACACTATAGGAAAGCTACGGCCAGACAGGCCAAATCTGGCCTGCTGACTGTTTTTGTAAGTGAAGTGTTACTGGAGTACAGCCACACCCATTCACTTACCTCTTGTCTATAGCCGCTTTCCCTCTACAGTGGCAGAATCGAATAGTTATGACAGAATGTATGGCCCGCCAAAGATGAAAGTATTTATTATCTAGCTAGTTACAGAAGAAGTTTGTTGAGCCCTGCTTTCTACCATATATTTTAATTTGCTCTTTTTGTATATGTATTATATCTCTCAATCTAAAAAAAGAAAGAAAACCTAGCAGCTATCCACTCATCCTGAGAACATATATATAATTATTATGCCTTCCTATAAATAATTGTTTGATTATTTAAAACCAATCTAAATATTTGCCAAGGGCCTTCATGGTGAAGGCTCTACACACCAGCCTGTAATTTAGGTTTGGGGATTAGTTGAGTCACACGTGGGAAACCTGGAGCCCACCAATCTCACCTCACTCTTTTATTCCCCTTCATGCTGCTGCAGGCAAATTCCTTGATTCAAGGAGGAACACCAGGTGGCTGTCTGGGGGTCATCAAAGGTGACCTGAAAAGCCCTTTTCTGCACTGGAGACATGACGTTGGAACAAGGACAACATCTCTAATATCAGGAAGGGTACCAGAGGTGACTTGCTGGGAGAAAAGGTGAGAGCAGGGAAGAGAACATGTTTACTATTTGGGGGCATAGTACGTTTGGAACAGCGACCGTGGGGGTCAGTTATAAGGCATGTAGATGAGCAGAAGGATCCCTAGAGAGCTTTACTCCCAGAAGGAGGAGATGGAGACGTCTGTGTACATGAACTTGTTCACTGAGAGCAGCTGTGATGACATGCCTATAATCAGACATGTGGGTAGGAGTGACAGTGTGCCAGAGCCTAAGACAGGGGTGGTCGGTGGGTCCTTTGGGGAGTGACAAGGGGTAGTGGTTGCAGCCCCTCCCAGTGTGTGTGTGTGTGTGTGTGTGTGTGTGTGTGTGTGTGTGTGTGTGATGGTGAATGAAGGGGAAGGGATCATGGTAATGCATGATATTGCAAGGGTGATGGGAGCATTGGCTTGCTTCTTCATCCTTACAGCTGGGGTTGATGCATATTCTTCCACCTGACTCTGTTAAAATCTTTGCCTTTTTAAGTAGCTGAGAAGGAGGGCGGGGGTAGTGTCATGTTGTGAGCTGAGTCACAGGAAACTTCGGCTGTCAGACACATATGGGGAAAGGGTGGCAATCTGAGAGGTAGGAAGAGGATATTTCAGGGGAGAGTGGAGGAAGCTCAGTGAAAGGGAGCTTGGTAGCTCCTGCTCTCCCAAGCATTTTCTAGCTGGATGGGGATCACGTAGGTCTTTCTGATCTCCTCAACTAGGTTGCAGCTGCCTTTGTGTCCTGACAGCCAATAGCTCACTTCCCGTCCTTTCTGTTCTCCTTCCTGTAGGGTAGAGAGTACTTTGTGGGGAATGTGGTTGGAAGAGCTGGGAAACATCTGCTACTGTGGGGCACAGGTTTCCAATTAGAACATGTGGAGAACTGGCTGGATCTAGTGCAGGGTGGGCCCCGCTCCATCACCACCCTTGATACGAAGTGGCATTGTGCACCTTCATCTTATTTTCCCTAAATAAGAAATGCTTTCTACTTAAGAAATTCTGCCAAGAACTCTGTTGCCACTGGTCCTCGTCTCCATGTCCTTACATGCCCCACAGCTTGAAGGAGAGGAGCCCTCTCTTCAGGGCCTGCATTGTTCTCGTAACTTCTGTCCTGCTATGCCAATCCTCAAGCCTAGGGAAAGGTGACTGGAGAGACTTAAGAAAAGAAACTGTATCGGGCCGGGCGTGGTGGCTCATGCCTGTAATCCCAGCACTTTGGGAGGCCGAGGTGGGCAGATCACCTAAGGTTGGGAGTTCGATACCAGCCTGACCAAAATAGAGAAACCCCATCTCTACTGAAAACACAAAATTAGCCGGGTGTGGTGGCGCATGCCTGTAATCCCAGCTACTCGGGAGGCTGAGGCAGGAGAATTACTTGAACCCAGGAGGCAGAGGTTGCAGTGAGCCAAGATTGTACCATTGCACTCCAGCCTGGGCAACAAGAGCGAAATTCCATCTCAAAAAAAGAAAAGAAAGAAACTAAATCAACATAAGTGGGTTTGATTATTTAATAAAAGTACCTGTTCTCACTTTATTTCAATGTAAAATGAATCTAGGAAAAGTATTACTAGTTATGCAGGAGCTATAGAGGAGTGTTGTGATGGTAATCTAATATTCTTGATTTTAGAATATGTCATCTTCTGCTTTCTGTTATTGTTTGTGTGTGTGTGTGTGCATGTGCGCTTATGTTGTGTGCACACACACCGTAGGGATTCAGGAAAAACCAGGGTTATCCTGTGGATATAAGTATGTTTAATCACCTTTGTTAGTTGAGGAAGAGCATGGTGGATTACATTATTGTTTACTAAATATTCACTCCTTCTCTATCAACGTCCATGGGAAGAGGATAATGCCCTGCTCTATTGGTACAGGCCTCAACCATGTCACTTGGCCAATTAAATGTAGGTAAGAGTGACGGTGGGCCACTGCGTAAGCCTTACAGTGTTTTGCATGTTTCCCATGCCCCTCTTACACTCCTGCCTTTCACCTCAACCAAAATATGCCTTGGATACATACTGGTCCAGGGAGGAGGAGAGACTCATGGAGCCAGCATAGACCCAAAACCCAGCTTGGACTCAAACCCAGCTGGGCCCCTCCAAGATCAGCCAAACACAGCCACACTGCAGATGTGTGAGTGAGAAATAAAGGCTTACTGTGGGCAACTGAGTTTTGGGGTGTTATACACACTCTTGTAAAATTAGCTAACTGATATGGAGACTTCTAAAGTCCTAATGTCTAATCTCCCCTTTTTCCTCAGTAGTAGTTCTCCTACCCAATAGTTAGCTGCTGCTAGTCACTTAGCCGAAAGATTGTATGTCTCTGACTCTTGCAGATTGGTAAGGCCTTGTAACTAGTTCCAGGGAATAACAAGTAAGTAGAAATGTTCCTAAATGGAGACGGTGTACATTTCTGTTCTTTGCCCTCCTCCCGTGGGTATAGCGCAGGTGTGATGGCTAAATCAGGGATCCATAAAGTGCTGCCTACTGGCTGGCCAGATGTTTTTAAAGTTTTATGAGAATATAGTCATGATGGCTGGGCACAGTGGCTCACATCTGTAATCCCAGCACTTTGGGAGGCCGAGGTGGGAGGATCACTTGGGCCCAGGAGTTCGAGACCAGCCTGGGCAACATAGTGAGACCCTATCTGTATTGAAAATTTGCAAAAAGTAAAAAAGATAAAAATATATAGTCATGCATATTCATTTGTACATCGTCTGCTGCTTTTGTATTACAAAGGTGGAGCTGATTAGTTATGGCAGAGACTTTGTGGCCAGCAAAGCCTCAAATATTTAGTCTCTGGTTCTTTGAGCACGAGTTTACTCACCGTTGGCCTAGAATGTGAACTGCCTCCTTATACCATAAAGAACCTGAGAAAACAATATGCTATAATACAATGCTTTTTCCCTGGGAATTTCTTTCAATATTACTAGTGTCCATCTACCTTTTAATGTTTTTCAGAGATGGGATCTCTCTCTGTTTCCCAGGGTGGAGTGTATTGGTATGATCATAGCTCATTACAGTCTCAAATTCCTGGGCTCAAGCAATCCTCCTGCCTCAGCCTCCTGAGTAGCTGGGACTACAGGTATGTGCCACCATGCTGGGCTAATTTTTTTTTAAAAAGTTTTCGTAGAGACAGGGTCTCACTATGTTGACCAGGCTGATCTTGAACGCCTGTCCTCAAGCAATCCTCTCGCTTCAGTCTCCCAAGTAGCTGGGATTCTGGGCTCAAGTCATCTACTTATTTTTTATTTTATTTATTTATTTATTTATTTATTTATTTATTTATTGAGATGGAGTTTTGCTCTTGACACCCAGCTGTAGTGCAATGGCACGATCTCAGCTCACTGCACCCTCTGCCTCCTGGGTTCAAGTGATTCTCCTGCCTCAGCCTCCCTAGTAGGTGGGATTACAGGCACCCGCCGCCACGCCTGGCTAATTTTTGTATTTTTAGTAGAGAGGAGGTTTCACCATGTTGGTCAGGCTGGTCTCAAACTGCTGACCTCAAGTGATCCGCCAGCCTTGGCCTCCCAAAGTGCTGGGATATCAGGCGTGAGCCACCGCGCCTGGCCCATCTACTTATTTTTAACTGATACTTGAAAGAAGGAATCATTATTACTAATTATAGTATACAATATTTTCTGTGCATCTTAGTCATAGACACTTTATTGATATTGGATTGAACTTTTCATTGAGTTTCTATGAAGGATAGTGTGAAGTGGAATGGGGACTAAGACCTGGGAAGTGTCTACATTCAAGGGTCTTCCATGTGGGTGCTGGTGAGAGGCACAGGGGTGAACAGGGTTAGCAGGGTCACAGCAGAGCAAGAACAGGGCTGAGGACGAAGCCCTGGGAGCAACAGAATTTGTGGGGTGGAAATAAGAGTCCGTGAAGGAGGCCAGAAAGTCAGGAAGGGAATGCCAGAGAGGAGCAGACCTCAGGAGCTGCATAAGGGAGGGAACTGAATTGCATCAAGAGTGGTGTGAAAAGCTAAAGGAAGACTATGTTAGATAGGAAATAAGAAGATAGTGATTTAAAAAATTAGGAAGTCCATTAGCTCAGTATGCCTGTAGTCCCGGCTACTCAGGGGGCTGGGGTGGAAGGATTGCTTGAGCCCAGGAGGTCGAGGCTGCAGTGAGCTGTTACTGTGCCACTGCACTCCAGTCTGGGTGACAGAGTGAGATGCCATCTCTACTTTAAAAAAAAAATTAGAAAGTCCCTAGTTATCAGGGAAATGCAAATTTAAACCACAACGAGCTACAATTTTCCCTCCCCGACTAGAACGGTTAGAATGAAAATTAGATAATATCAAGCGTTGGCAAAATACAGTGAAATTAGGCCAGGCGCAGTGGCTCATGCCTATAATCCCAGCACTTTGGGAGGCCGAGGCGGGCGGATCACGAGGTCAGGAGATCGAGACCATCCTGGCTAACACGGTGAAACTCCATCTCTACTAAAAATACAAAACCTTAGCCAGGCGTGGTGGCGGGCGCCTGTAGTCCCAGCTACTCGGGAGGCTGAGGCAGGAGAATGGTGTGAACCCGAGAGGGGGAGCCTGTAGTGAGCCGAAATCACGCCACTGCACTCCAGTCTGGGCGACAAGAGTGAGACTCTGTCTCAAAAAAAAAAAATGTAGCGAAATTAGACCCTCCACACATGGATAAGAATGTAAAGCAGTGCAGCCACTTTAGAAAAGTCTGGCAGTTGCTCAAATGATTAAACAGTTATCATATGACCCAGCAATTCCACTCCTGTTATATACCCAAGAGAATTGAAAACATGTTCACAAAAAACGTATACATGAATGTTCATAACAGCACTATTCATTATAGTCCAAAAGTGTAACAATCCAAATGTGCATCAATGGATGAATGGATAAACAAAATGTGGTCTTTCCACACAGTGGAATATTATTCAGCCATAAAAAGGAATGACGTGCTGACACATGCCACAGCATGGATGGACTTGGAAAACATTAAGCCGAGTGGATGAAGCCAGTCACAAAAGGCCATACATGGTATGATTCCATTCATATGAAAGTACAGAGCAGGGAAATCTACAGTGAAGGAAAGCGGATTAGCGGTTGTTTAGGGTCAGGGGAGGAGGATGGGAGTATGGGGAGTGAAAGCTAAAGGGTGTGGGGTTCCTTTTTGTGGTGAGAGAAACATGCTAGAGACCATTGAATTGTGAACTTCACATTGGTGAAGTGTATGGTATATGAAACATACAGCTCAGTGAAGCTGTTTAAAAAATTAGGAAGTCACCAGTAGCTTTGAGGAAGCATTTTTAATCAAGTACGAGTGATGAGGCCAGGATCCTGGGTGTGGTATGTTGAGGGTGATTGGGAGTTGCAAAGTGATGAAGGGGAAGCAATGCTGAGAGGTTATTTCAGGTTTGAGAAGATGTGAGGCTGCTTGGAGAGCAAGAGGAGGTAACCTGTCAGTGGAGAGGAAGGGGGTCGTCAGGGAGACAGTGACGGTTGATGGAGACAGGGCCAAAGGACATTCTTAGGGGAGGCACAGGTGGCAAGTGGAGCTTTTGAAGAGGAGAGAGGCCAGTTTCCCCCTAAAACACGAGGGAAAGAAAGAAGAATCCTGAGAGCTCATCGAAAACAGGAACCACATCAGATTTGTTTTTGTAATCTCCGCATCTATCTCAATTAATGGGAAATATACATTTATTCATTCACTAAACATTTAATGAGGGCAGACTGTGCCAGGCACTACTTCCCTGGCTAGTGATCCCACAGCAGCCCTCACAGACAAAACCAGCACACAGGCTGTGGAAGAGTTGTTAGTATTCACCAAACGTCCATGAGTGCCTCTATTTCCCAGCTTTCCTTGCAGTGAGGCTGAATCCACATGACTAGTTCTGGCCAATGGCCTGTGGGTGCATCACTTTCAGGTTGAGGCAATAAAGAGCCAGTGTTTGGCCTCCTTTTCTCCTCTTCTGCTATGGTGACCTTGGAAACCACACGTCCATGAAGCAATACGGATCCTTTCTGTGTGCAATGTGTTCTCGCCTCTTGATTTGCTTTGATTCTCCTCTCTATCTCCTCTTCCATTTCCTTCTCTCTGTCTTTCTTTTAAGTGCTGGTCACAACAGGCTAAATGATTTCATGAGTCACGAATAAGCTCTTTGAAAAATATTGTTCTAGATCAACACTTAATCTACACATGAAGCGTAAGGGATCTTGTTAATCCAGGTTCTGGCTCAGTAGGTATGAGTTGGGGCCTGAGAGTCTGCATTCTAAAAAGCTCCAAAGGCAGGGTGCAGTGGTTCACGTCCATCATCCCAGCACTTTGGGCCCAGGAGTTTGAGACTGGCCTGAGCAACATACTGAGACTCTGTTTCTACGAAAAAAAGTTTAAAAAGTAAAAAAATTAAAAAATGAAAAGCTCCTAGGTGGTGTGCTGCTGCTGCTCCAGGTTCAAGGGTCACAATTTTAGTAGCAAGGTCCTAGAGGGCATCCCTGTGCCCCTGGTAATGTCATTTTTGACAAAAGTGTATCTCACTGGAGTAATACACACATGCAGATGTAACAGACTTGCACATATGTATACTCATGTACATGTGTCCACCACACACGTGTGCCCACAGATTTGTGACCATACACTCCTCCCCAGGTACCCTTATTGGTATCTGTCAGCTTAAAAATGAGATATGTTCAAACATTTTGTTAATCGGCGTTTTGACCATGTGCCATTTAGTTGCATCTGGTGAGTGGGTGAACACACAGTCATCCTTGAGAACAGTCATGGGGGTGGATGGAGGGGAGATAGTGGGGGAGGAAATAAATCAAAACTCCAGCAAGAGTCAAAGGGAGCATCCTGTGCCTGGCAGAGTCCTCACTGCACTTGCTGGGCTTCATCCAACCCCTGTGTACCCATGGGGCACTTCTGGGGACATCAGTCATAATTCCTGCTTTCTACAACCATCCCTTTTGATTTTTCCATCATAAATAAAGTTCATCTTCTGTGTCTGTTGACATCATGCTGTAAGTCCCATGGCATCCCAGTCTCATGAATCTTCTGCCCTTTTTGGCAGCCCCACTAGTCTCATTTATTATTATTGTTGGCACCGTTGTTGTTTGCTAACAGTGATGATTCTCTGGGAACAGATTATATGAAAATATGAGCTTTACACAGAGAATAGCATTAATGCTGATGTTAATGAGTCATCAGCATGAATACCGCTGAGGTGAGAGGTAATCGTAAGGGCCTCTGTACCGTCATGTGGCATTTCAGTGTTTTGATGGGAAGCTTTTCATATACAAAGTAATATACATTAATTTGAGGCTACTATAAGAGGAATGTTTGCAAGCAAACAAAACAAACTTTTTTTCAAAAATGTGCCATTAAGGAATATAATAAGTCATTGAACATCCTCTAATGTAGAGTCATAAAAGCCTTACAAATTCCATCTATTCTTTTTCAAGGTACTTAAAGGAAACGAGTTCTATAGAAGCCAATACTCAGCCTTAGGACAATTGCTACAAATTATTAAACTCATGTTATGAAAGTGGGTGCAAGACATGAGTGAATGAATGGGTTACAGAACAATGGAAGTAAATCAAACACATAAATCACACTTCCAGCCGGGCGGTGGCTCACGCCTGTAATCCTAGCACTTTGGGAGGCTGAGGTGGGTGGCTCACACCTATAATCCCATCACTTTGGGAGGCTGAGGTGGGTGGATCACTTGAGGTCAGGAGTTTGAGAGCAGCCTGTCCAACATGGTGAAACCCCGTCTCTGCTACAAATACAAAAAACTAGCCAGGCGTGGTGGTATGCGCCTGTAATCCTAGCTACTCGGGAGGCTGAGGCAAGAGAATCGCTTGAACCCGGAAGGCGGAGGTTGCAGTGAGCCAAGATTGTACCACTGCACTCCACCCTGGGCAACAGAGTGAGACTCCATCTTAGAAAAAATAAATAAATAAAAGTAAATCACACTTCCACTCAGTTTCTCAGCCATGCAGGGTACACCTGCTTACTGTATCTTTCCCAAGAGCCATATAATTATGAAAAGAATAAGACTTTCCCTTTTATTATTTTAAAGACGGAGTATAAAAAGTATTTGTTCCTTTAAGACCACTTTATTGAGGTATGATTGACATATAAAGAGCTGTACATATTTAATGTATCCAACTCGATGAATTTAGGCATAAGTATACCCCTGTGAAACCATCACCACCACCAAGGCCATAGACATGCCCATCACTTTCCCAAGCTTCCTCCCACCCCCTTTTTTATTATCATTATTATTTTGTGGTAAGAGCACTTAATAGAAGATCTGCCCTCTTAGCGAATTTTAAGTATCCAAGACAGTATTGTTAGCTATAGGCACTATGCTGTAGTAGGTCTCTAGAATTTATTTATCTTGCATAACTAAAATTTTGTACCTTTGACCATCACTTTCCATTTCTCCTCCTCCAGCCCTTGGCAACCACCGTCCTGCTCTCTACTTCTATGAGTTCGACCATTTCAAGTTCCTCATCACACTGAAACCAGGCAGTATTTGTCTTTCTGTATGTGGCCTATTTCGGTTAGCATGATGTCCTCCAGGCTCAGCCAAATTGTCACAAGTGGCAGAATGTCACTTCTGTTTTTATGACTGAACCCCATTCCATTGCATATACATACCATGCTTCTTCATCCATTCCTCCGTCGATGGACATGTCGGTTGTTTCCATATCTTGGCTATTGTGAATAACACTGCAGCGAGCATGGGAGGGCAGTGTCTCTTTGAGATCCTGATTTCAGTTCCTTTGGATAAATACCCAAAATTAGGATTGCTGGATCATATGATCGTTCTATTTTTAATTGTTTGAGTAACCTCCACACCGTTTTCCATAATAGCTGTACCAATTTACATTCACGCCAATAATGTATCAGAGTTTCTGTTTTCCCACATATTCGCCAACACTTATCTTTTCTTTTTTTTTTGAGACAGAGTTTTGCCCTTGTTGCCCAGGCTGGAGTGCAATGGTGCAATCTCGGCTCACGACGACCTCCACCTCCCGGGTTCAAGCGATTCTCCTGCCTCAGCCTCCTGAGTAGCTGGGATTACAGGCATGCACCACCATGCCTGGCTAATTTGTATTTTCAGTAGAGACAGGGTTTCTCCATGTTGGTCAGGCTGGTCTCGAACTCCTGACCTCAGGTGATCCGTCCACCTCGGCCTCCCAAAGTTCCGAGATTACAGGCGTGAGCCACTGCGCCCGGCCATTTCGTTTTTAATATAATAGCCATCCTCCCAATGAGGTGATCTCTGATTATGATTTTTTTTTTTTTTTGAGACGGAGTCTTGCTCCTGTTACCCAGGCTGGAGTGCAATGGCGCAATCTCGGCTCACTGCAACCTGCACCTCCCAGGTTCCAGCGATTCTCCTGCCTCAGCCTCCCAAGTAGCTGGGGTTACAGGCATGCGCCACCACGCCCAGCTAATTTTTGTGTTTTTAGTAGAGACAGGCTTTCACCATGTTGGCCAGGCTGGTCTCAATCTCCTGACCTCAAGTAATCTGCCCGCCTCGACCTCCCAAAGCCCTGGGATTACAGACGTGAGCCACCACACCCAGCCAGTACCCATTTTTAAATTGGGTTATTTGGAGGTTTCTTTGCTAGTGAACTGTTTGAGTTCCTTGTATATTGTGGTTGTTAACCTTTTATCAGGTATGTGGGTTGCAGACAGTTTCTCCCATTCTGTAGGTTTTCTTTTCAATTGTTTCCTTTGCTCTGCAGACCTTTTAGTTTGATATAATCCCACTTGTTTATTTTTACTTTTGTTGTCTGTGCTTTTGTTGTCATGTCCAAACAATTATCACCAAGACCAATGTCAAGGAGCTTTTCCTCTACGTTTTCTTCTAGAAGTTTTACAGTTTCAGGTCTTACGTTTAAATCCTTCATACATTTTTAGTTGATTTTTGTGTATGATGTAAGAAAGGAGTTCAGTCTCATTCTTTTGCCTGTGGATATCCAGTTTTCCACACCATTTATTGAAGAGACCATCCTTCCTCTGTTTTATTTTCTTGGTGCCTTGTTGAAGGTAAGTTGACCATGTGTATGGGGAAGAGCATTATTCCTGGCTTCTCTACTCGGCACCATTGGTCTAGGTGTCCATTTTTAGGCTAGTACCATACCGTTTTGATTACTACAGCTAAAGTAGTAGCTTTCTTCACCGAAAGGAAGCTTAACAGTATTATTCATAAACCGTAAAATTTTAGTTTACTAGGGTAGAATCTTTCAAAAATGGCATATGGGAAAGTATAAACGGATGGGTTTCTCACTAAGAGAAACTCTGAGCCCAATTTAGGACCATGAACAGATTAATTTCTGTTTATACTAAACAAAGTGTTATGTAGAGAATCTCTTCAATCTAATACTGTTTCTTATGCTAAAATATAGCTGTCTTTTTTTTAAAAACTATTTAGTTTAGAAGCCATTTCAATTTATACATTTCCCATACTTCTGTTCTTCCAAAAGATAAACACATACAAACACCTCGTGGTTTCTTTTGAAATTCCTTCCATGAGAAAGGTGAGCAGGAAGAAACGGACAACAGCTACAAGCCTGTCATACTCTTGTTGGATTAAGAATCTGGGAACCGTTGGTCGGGTGCAGTGGCTCACACCTGTAATCCCAGCACTTTGGGAGGCCAAGGTGGGTGGATCATCTGAGGTCAGGAGCTCAACACCAGCCTGGCCAACAGGGTGAAACCCTATCTCTACTAAAAATACAAAAATTAGCTGAGTATGGTGGTACACACCTGCAGTCTCAGCTACTTGGTAGGCTGAGGCAGGAGAATTGCTTGAACTCTGGAGGCGGAGGTTGCAATGAGCTAAGATAGCGCCCCTGCACTCCAGCCTGAGCAACAGAGTGAGACTTTGTCTCAAAAAAAAAAAAAAAAAAGAATCTGGGAACTGTAAACCATGCCCTTCCAATAAAGGCAATTTTTGTTGGCTATTTTGGTGCCTAATCGCTTGTGTGTCTGCCGGGAAAATCCGACAAGAGCAGCATGTGTGCGTGGTGTGTGCACCCTCAGTTCTGAGGAAGGCCTGCTCCCTCCTGCACTAACCCGGGGTGCTTTCACCCACTTTAGACCAGTGTGAGGTACGGCTTTGCATTCCAATGACGACACATTCCAAACTGATTTGGCAGCACTGTTTAAGTGCTACAAGGAAACCAGTAAAACAGAATCCTGAATCAGAATCCTGACGATTCATACAAAAATTAAAACAGGCCTTAAATCTCAAAAGTACTTATTACCACCCTGTGGCCACATACCCCTACACTATGGCAAAAATGGAAATCCTGCAGCAGCCAGATGTGTGAGAGAAGGGAGGTAGCCCTCCGTCCCAGAGCAGTAAACAAAGGAGCTGCAGAGCCACGGAGCACTGAGGAGGGTTGTGCTCTCCAAATATGGCCCCACTGAGACACGCCTCCCTCAGCAGACTTTCCTGCAGACGGGTGTACTGACAGACGGATGTTCAGACACGCAGACATTCAGAGAGACACACAGATGTTCAGACAAGTGCATTCTGGCTGGGTGGGTGGCTCACACCTGTAATCCCAGCACTTTGGGAGGCTGAGGCAGGCAGATCACCTGAGGCCAGGAGTTGGAGACCAGCCTGGCTAACACAGTGAAACCTCATCTCTACTAAAAATACAGAAATTAGCTGGGTGTGGTGCCGGGCGCCTATAATCCCAGCTACTCGGGAGGCTGAGGCAGGAGAATTGCTTGAACCCGGGAGGCAGAGGTTGCAGTGAGCCAAGATCGTGCCATTGCATTCCAGCCTGGGTGACAGAGCGAGACTCCGTTTCAAAAAATAAAAAATAGAAAACAGACAAGTGCATTCTGACAGATGGACAGACATTCTGACAGACAGGTGTTCAGACACATGAATCAGAAATATGCATGTTCAGACACAGATGATTAGACACATGGACAGATGTTCCATTCAGAGAGACAGATATTCTGACAGATGGACAGAAGTTTAGACAGACAGACACTCCAGCAGATGGGCATTCTGACACACAAGAAGTTCCAACAGAAGATGTTCATACAGATGTTTGGACGGACTGACATTTAGACAGATGGACAGAAGTTCAGACAGACGGACATTCCAACAGATGGATGTTGAAACAGATGGACAGGCATTCAGACTGTCAAATGTGCATTCTGACAGACGGGCGTTATGACACACAGATGGTCAGAGATGGACTTTCCAACGTATGGATATTCCGACAGATTCGTGTTCAGAAAGATGTAAATGGATGTTCCCAAAGGAGAGACTTTCAGACAGACAGATGTTCCTACCGATGGGTGTTTTCACACACAAAAATGCAGACACACAGATGATTGGATAGCTCTTCATACTGATGGACACATTGACCAATAGATGCTTAAACAGATAGATATTTGGACAGATGGACATTCAGACAGGAGGTCATTTGGGCAGGCCAACAGACATTTAGACAGATCACTTTCAGACAGATGGACAGACATTCAGACAGATAGACATTTGGACAGACAGACCTTGGGACAGGTGGAAAGATTCACACACACATTGTGGCAGATGGGCATACTGACTGATGGACATTCAGACACGTGAACAGATATTCTGGCAGGTGGGTGTTTTGGCAGACAGGCATTCTGAGAAGACATTCAAATGGACAGATGGTGGATGGATGGACAGGAGGAAACATTCAGATAGGTGGGTGCTCAAACAGATGTTCGCTCAGTCACAAAGATGTTCAGACACACACATGTTCTTACAGGTGGATGTTCTGACAAACAGAAATTCAGACGTTATTGGAGGATGGAGGGGTGTTCAGAATGATGGGCATCAGACAGACAGAGTGTCAGAGAGCTGGATATTCAGACACATGGCCAGATGTACAGATAGATATTTGGACAGATGCCCAGATGCCCTGACAGACAGATGGCTGTTGAGACAGAACAACATTCAGACAAATGAACAGACAGACATTCAGACTGATGGACTTATGGACATAGGGACAGACATTCACATAGATGGTTTTTCAAGCAGATAGGCTGAGTATCTGATAGACAGACTGGATCCATCTGAAGGTCTGCAGGTGGACAGATGTTCAGACAAACAGGTGTTTTGGGAGAAGGGCGTGCCAATGTACAGCAGTTGTGACAGATGGATGTTCAAATGCTTGTTCCTGTAGACTGATGTTCAGACAGATGATATGCATTCTGACAGACAGACATTATGACAGGACAGTGAGGAAAATGGACGTTTGGGCAGACAGAGGCCATTCCAGCAGATAGGCGTGCCTACAGAACATACCCTGTGTGTCAGATGCTCGTACGTGGGAATGTCTGTCTGACAAGCCGACTTTCTGTATGTTCCAGTGTCTATCTCTCTGTATGTCTATCTCTCTGCAACTCTGTCCATCCGCCTAAACACCTGTCTGCCTGAACATCTGCCTGTCCGTCTGGGCATCCATGTGTCTGAGTGTGCATGTGTTGGAATTGCTGTATGTTGGAATTCCCATCTGTCATAACATCCATCTGTCTGAATGTGTTTGTATGAGAACCCATCCACGTGTCTGACCATCCTTAAGTCTGAACATCTTCATGTTGGCACACCCATCTGTTGGAACATCAGTTTATCAAAATGTCTGTTCATCTCTCCAAACATTTGTCTATCTGAATGTATGTTCTTCTGTCCTAATGTCCCCCTGCCTGCCTTCCTGAATGTCAATGGGTCCAAACATCTGTCTGTCTGAACGTCCATCTGTTCACTACAGAGTTTATAAAACTCTTGTGAAAGTGTCCCTGTAGGTTGTTACAGAATCAGGAGGACTTCAAGTGAAACAGGAGACTCGAGAGCAGGTTTGGATGTGGGATTAGGAAGAGAATTTGAGGTACTATTCACCTGAGAACCGAAGGTGGGATCATGACTACTAATCCTGAGAAAATGCCCCACACCTAACCCCAGAGCCTGGCATATCAAAGACCAACTCCCCTTATTGTTTCATTTTTATGAGGCCAAGCCTATGTCTGACTGTCGGCTCCTCCTGTGGGCAGCCTGGTGAGGGAGGGAAGCTCTAGGGAGCCCATGTCTTCCTCCTGGTCCTGTGTGCACACAGGGAAGATGGGGCTCGTGCCTAATTAATGTGATCTTCAGGACAGGTGATTTGAGGTTGTCAGAGTAACACAAACTGAGACTGACGAATCTCAGGTGGAAAAGGATCTGACAGGCAGAAGACTTGGGAAGGCACTGGATCCAGAATTTAGCCAGGACAGGGAGAGAGCTGGACCTGACTGATGAATCACAGGGAAGCCTTTGATTTTGTTTGTTGTTTGTTTGTTTGTATGTTTGTTTGTTTTTGAGATGGAGTCTTGCTCTGTAACCCAGGCTGGAGTGCAGTGGCACAATCTTGGCTCACTGCAACCTCCGCCTCCCGGGTTCAAGCAGTTCTCCTGCCTCAGCCTCCTGAGTAGCTGGGATTACAGGTGTTCACCACCACGCCCGGCTAATTTTTGTATTTTTAGTAGAAATGGGGTTTCATCATGTTGGTCAGGATGATCTTGAACTCCTGACCTCGTGATACACCTGCCTTGGCCTCCCAAAGTGCCAGGATTACAGGTGAGAGCCACCACACCCATCTGCAGGCAGCCTTTGTGACGATGGTCACGGTGGAGATGATGATGGATGTGACAATGATGGCGGCCGCCAGCTGCTGGTGTTTAATACCTGCCAGAGCTTCTGCTGGGTCTTCTACATGCACTGTCACATATATTACTCATGCTTATGTTATAAGGTCAGTATTATGATCCCCATTTTAGATAATAAAACTGAACTTTAGAATGAAAATGTCCCTTGTGTGAGTTCACTTGTACATTAAATGTCAAAATTGGAAATAAAAGCCGTTTCTGACTACAGAATTAATCCATTCACCCCTTCATTACTTACATCATAACTATTACCTACTAGCAGGCCAGGCATTGTACTCAGTGCTAGGGAAAATACAGTGAGGGAAAAAAGGCATAATTCCTGCTTGTGTGGACTTTCCTCTCCCGGGGTCGTGGAGGCAAACATCTATAAAATATGTGTCTAGTCAAAACCTGGTGCTAAGGGTGAGGAAGAGAATAGGATGGTAGGTGTTGAGGGCGTGGCCCAGGGCACCTGATCAGCCTCTTTAGGAGGCTTCTCGGAGGAAGCCGCATTGAAAATGGGGAGAGCGTGGGTTATGAGATGAAGGATGGGTTGGGGTACAGCATTCCAGGCAGAGGGAAGGACATACTGCATCTGAGCTACTGCAGGAAGACCCCTGATGCTGGGATAAAGAAGGAGAAGAGAAAAGTACAGGGTGAGGCTGGACAAGCCAGTTCATTTTGGATCCTCTGGGCATCTTAGGGCCCGGGCCTTTCTTCTAACAGCAAAGGGTAGCCATTGGCTGGACCGGATGAGGTCCTTATTTATTTATTTATTTATTTATTTATTTATTTCGAGACGGAGTCTTGCTCTGTCCCCCAGGCTGGAGTGCAGTGGCACAATCTCAGCTCACGGCAAGCTCCGCCTCCGGGGTTCACGCCATTCTCCTGCCTCAGCCTCCCCAGTAGCTGGGACTACAGTCGCCCGCCACCACGCCCAGCTAATTTTTTTGTATTTTTAGTAGAGACGGGGGTTCACCGTGTTAGCCACGATGGTCTCGATCTTCTGACCTCATGATCCACCTGCCTCAGCCTCCCAAAGTGCTGCGATTACAGGCGTGAGCCACCGCACCCGGCCGAGGTCCTTCATTTTTTAGAGCCTCAGCCTTCTTGTCTGTAAATTGGGACACCTGAGGCCTCCTTCACAGGCTTCCCATGAGTATTTGGCGAGAGAGTTAACCTGAAAGCTCAGCACAGTGCCTGCAATGGATTGATTTCTGTAACTTTACATAGAGACCGAGATGTTTAAAGAAGAGAAATCCAAAATAATCAAATCATATTCCTGTAAATAAAGATAAAAAGAAATAGATGTCTTTGGTCTGAAGGGACGAGTTACAGTCAGACTAGGATTCAAGGGCATGAGCCCACGGAGGTGGGTTGTAGGCCCAGAGGAGGAGACAGGAAACAGCAGGCATTAGAAAGAGCTGAGCAGACACTCAGTTTAAGTTGGGCTGCTTTAGTTATGGTCCAAACGCTACTTCTTTTTTCTTTTCTTTTTCTTTTTTTTTTTTTTTTAAGACCGAGTCTCACTCTGTTGCTCAGGCTGGAGTGCGGTCACGCGATCTCGGCTCACTGCAAGCTCGGTCTTCCGAGTAGCTGGGATTACAGGCACCTGCCACCACGCCCAGCTAATTTTTTTATTTTTAATAGAGATGGGGTTTCCCCAGGTTGGCCAGGCTGGTCTCAAACTTCTGACCTCAGGTGATCTGCCTGCCTCGGCCTCCCAAAGTGCTGGGATTACAGGTGTGAGCCACCGTGCCCAGACTCCAGATGCTATTTCTGAACTCATCCCTGTTGTCCTTTCCCGGTTTGGGGAGGTGTGAGATGTGCCCAGCACCGCAGGCCAAGGGATCGCTGGCTGCCCATGGCCACCACCTTCCTGGACTTAGAACCCTTGGGAAGACCTAGCCTGTGCAGCTCTGTCCTTCTCTCTCCTCACAGCCCTGGTTCTGAGGTCTTTGTGAAGCACTGAGACACTCCCATTGTCAAAGTCCACAGCTGGTCTCTCAGCTATTAGATTGGTGCCATTACTTTTAATGGCAAAACTGCAATGACTTTTGCACCAACCTAAATCCATTCTCCTCACCTCATTCCCTTTGTGTCCTCTGCTCCCTGCTCTTCTCTGGGGGTCCTGTTACCTGAAAGGGGTCCCAATCCAGACCCTAAGAGAGGGTTCTTAGATCTCGCACAAGAAAGAATTTGAGGTGAATCCATACCATAAAGTGAAAGCAAGGTTATTAAGAAAGTAAAGGAATTAGGCCTGGAGCAGTGGCTCACGCCTGTAATCCCAGCACTTTGGGAGGCCGAGGCGGGTGGATCACGAGGTCAGGAGATCGAGACCATCCTGGCTAACACGGTGAAACCCCGTCTCTACTGAAAATACAAAAAATTAGCCGGGCGTGGTGGCGGGCGCCTGTAGTCCCAGCTACTCGGGAGGCTGAGGCAGGAGAATGGCGTGAACCCAGCAGGCGGAGCTTGCAGTGAGCCGAGATCACGCCCCTGCACTCCAGGCTGGGCGACAGAGCGAGACTCCGTCTCAAAAAAAAAAAAAAAAAAGTAAAGGAATTAGAAGAATGTCTACTCTAATAGGCAGAGCAGCCCCAAGGGCTGTTGGTTGCCCGTTTTTATAATTATTTCTCGATTATATGCTGAACACGGGGTACATCGTTCATGCCTCCCCTTTTTAGGCGATAGAGGGGAACTTCCCGACGTTGCCACGGCATTTGTAGATTGTCATGGCGCTGGTGGGAGTGGAGCAGCGAGGATGCCCGGAGGTCACTCTCGTCACCATCTTCGTTTTGGTGGGTTTTGCGGCTGTTTTACTGCAGCCTGTTTTATCAACAAGGTCTTTCTGACCTGTATCTTGTGCCGATCTCCTATCTCACCCTGTGACTTAGAACGCCTAACCGTCTGGGAATGCAGCCCAGGAGGCCTCAGCCTTGTTTTACCCAGTCCCTATTCAACATGGAGTCGCTCTGGCTCGGACGCCTCTGACAGTCCTACCACAGCGACCTGCCTCTCCAGACCATCCACCCTTGGAATCATATTCCCAGGAGCTGTTCCCACTATGTCAGAAGATGATCGTTGTGGTTCTGGTCTGTAAAACCGTAAGGCCAGGGAGCAGCATCTGGCAGCTCATAGCACCCAGAGCTTCTAACTCCTGCATTTTCACCTGCTCCCTGGTCCACGTGATGCTCTATGGGGGTGGCTAGTGAACCCTCCTCTCTCCCCAGACGCAGGCCCTTATCTGAGCCTGGACACATCAGCCTGGAGGGCAGTGAGGGGCCAGTCACTGCCTCCTACTGTGTCCTGGCTGCTTCCTGGCTGTGGTCAGCTTTTCTGTCACTTTTGCAGCTGGAAACCTCTGTGATACCTTCTGTGAGGCCAAGTTCCTAATGTTCTGCATGCCCGTGGTCCCACAGTGACCGGGTATCCTTCCTGCTCGCCAACCTGCGCACCAGGGGCAAGGCCATGGGGGTCAGGGAGGTCTCCATGTTGGCCTCCAGCCCGGGGCTGCTGGGATGCGTATTTGCTCCTAAATGCTACGTAACCCTGCTGAGACCAGACCAAAATTTGGTTATAAAGAAGGACGGTTTGAGGAACAGCATATTTTCGGGAGCTTTGACTATGTTTGCACAAATCATGAGCATCTCGGAGAAAAAAGGAGCATTGCTATACTTGTACATCTTGTTTCTATTTAAGATTTATCTATATTCTCTCAGGACGAGAGAATTCTCCTGTCATAACCATCCAGGACACACCAATGCTCATGAGGCTCACCTCAGAACAAAAACATTTGAGACTTGTTGGTGTGCCACGTATCAGGCCATGGATAGTCTTATCATTTCTCTGCCTTGTTCTTTTGTGGGAGCTGCTTATTTCCCTCCGTATCTTTAGACAACAGTCTGGTTGCCTACAGTCCTGAGACATATTTCTCTAATTCCTTCTGTTTGTTGTCTCTAGAGCCCACTAGAGAACACACTGTTAATACCTGAGCCATGCATGCATTCCTTCGGCGCTTCAATACTTTTCTTTTCTTTTTTTTTGAGGCAGAGTCTTGCTCTGTTGCCCAGGCTAGAGTGCAGTGGCGCAATCTCGGCTCACTGCGACCTCCTCCTGAGTTCAAGCAATTATCCTGCCTCAACCTTCCAAGTAGCTGGGATTACAGGCGCACACCACCATGCCCAGCTAATTTTTGTATTTTTAGTAGAGACGAGGTTTCACCGTGTTGGCCAGGCTAGTCTCGAACTCCTGACCTCATGATCCACCCGCCTCAGCCTCCCAAAGTGCTGGGATTATAGGTGTGAGCCCCTGTGCCCTGCTGAGCTTCAGTACTTTTCACTGTGCATTGAACTTAGCAGACTCTTTTCTGCACCCTTTCATATCCCGTCATCAGCCAGGAAACAGCACACTGTTAGGGTGACCAACCATCCCAGCTTGCTTGGGACTGAGGGGTTTCCCAAGACACAGATCTTTCAGTGCTGAAGATGGAACTGTCCCAGGCAAACCAGGATGGCTGGTCACCCTGACAGTGATGTGGATTCAGGCCACGCCTTGAAGCTGGGCAGATGGTGGTGCCAACATATGCATTCTTTGATTTACTTTAGTCCATGTCCTTGGACAGTTCACAAAACACTTCTGAACCTCATTTTGTCTCATTTGCCAAATGGAGGTAATAATAGTCAGTGTGTAGCACTGTTCCGAAGATGAAATGGGCTCATGTGTGTCAAAATACGTCCCTTGATATTTGGTGAGCATTGATTATCTTTGCCTGGTGTCATCTAAATGGGCATGATGAGGTTGAAGTCTTAGGATGCAGACTGATAGTAGACAGAATTGAACATATATTATCCCAATAACCATTTCTTGCTTTTTTTTTTTTCTTGGGACAGTCTCATTCTGTCACCGAGGCTGCAGTGCAGTGGTGCAATCTTGGCTGACCTACAGCCTTGACCTCCTGGGCTCAAGCGATCTTCCCACCTCAGCCTCTGTAGTAGCTGGGACTACAGGCACACATCAATGCACCTGGCTAATTTTTGTATACTTTTGTAGAGACCGAGTCTCCCCATGTTGCCTGGTCTCAAACTTCTGGGCTCAAGGGATCTATCCACCTCACTTCCCAAAGTACCGGGATTACAGGCATGAGCCACTGCACCTGGCCTCATTCCTCACATTTGTGAAATGCTTCATTCTTTACTGAGACCTCTTAGTGGATTAGCCTGTGCCTGCTCATGTGGGAGTCAACCTCAGCTGATGGTGGCCAGTCAACAGGGAGAGAGGGGCCTGGTTAGGACTGGATGAGGCTGGAGATAAGTGGGTCACTCAGATGCCACAGGGGTTAAGCTGAGGGGCTGAGAGGCCGAGGAGTTCAGCTTTGCTGGGAGTGGCCCAGGCACCCCAGGCAGTCCTGACTGTTCTTGAGGAGCAGAATCTGAGCACAGGAGCCAGAAAGGCCTTGGCACCTAGAAGCCTCCCACAGCTGCCACTTGAGTCCACTGCTCCATTCAAGGTCCTCTTCTTGGCCCCAGACCTGGTCCCCATGTTCTCTTTTCCTGTTAAAGTCACTGGGCAGTCCGCTTTTCCTCCCCAGCGTCTACCCCCATTCACTCTCCCCAGTGCTGACTTCAGGGTCCTCCACCATCGCTAACCCTTCTTTGTTTCTAACTTCAAAGATGACTTCTCAGCCCTTGTAGGTTTCAGGCTGATCCTACTGATCATTTTAGATAGCAGCTGAGTGATGGCCATGATCACTAACAGGAGGAAGTTCAAGCACCTCCAGGGCTCTTTCCACGATGACTCCTGACCCCATAGATTGAGAGAGAGAAGCCCTCACTGGGCACCCCTCTTGACTGTCATCCCTACTCACCATCCATGTGACTCCACTGTGGGAACACACATAATGGCCTCACCTTCTGATATCCAGACACAATATAGGGAGAACAATATTAACAGCCATAGTCACTGTTTACTCTTATTGAGGGTTTGGTATATGCCAGACACTAGATAAAAACTTTCCAAGGCTGGGCATGGTGGCTCATGCCTGTAATCCCAGCATTTTGGGAGACTGAGGCAGGCGGATCACCAGGTCAGGACATCAAGACCATCCTGGCCAACATGGTGAAACCCCATCTCTACTAAAATACAAAAAATCAGCCAGACGTGATGGTGCATGCCTGTATTCCCAGCTACTTGGGAGGCTGAGGCAGGGGAATCGTTTGAACTCAGGAGGCAGAGGTTGCAGTGAGCCAAAATCGTGCCACTGCACTCCAACCTGGTGACAGAGCAAGACTCCGTTTGACTTTCTTTGTAGAATTGGAAAAAACTACTTTAAAGTTCATATGGAACCAAAAAAGAACCCGCATTGCCAAGTCAATCCTAAGCCAAAAGAACAAAGCTGGAGGCATCACACTACCTGACTTCAAACTATACTACAAGGCTACAGTAACCAAAACAGCATGGTACTGGTACCAAAACTGAGATATAGACCAATGGAACAGAACAGAGCCCTCAGAAATAATGCCGCATATCTACAACTATCTGATCTTTGACAAACCTGACAAAAACAAGCAATGGGAAAGGATTCCCTATTTAATAAATGGTGCTGGGAAAACTGGCTAGCCATATGTAGAAAGCTGAAACTGGATCCCTTCCTTACACCTTACACGAAAATTAATTCAAGATGGATTAAAGACTTAAATGTTAGACCTAAAACCATAAAAACCCTAGAAGAAAACCTAGGCAACACCATTCAGGACATAGGCATGGGCAAGGACTTCATGTCTAAAGCACCAAAAGCAATGGCAACAAAAGCCAAAATTGACAAATGGGATCTAATTAAACTAAAGAGCTTCTGCACAGCAAAAGAAACCACCAGCAGAGTGAACAGGCAACCTACAGAATGGGAGAAAATTTTTGCAACCTACTCATCTGACAAAGGGCTAATATCCAGAATCTACAATGAACTCCAACAAATTTACAAGAAAAAAACAAACAACCCCATCAAAAAGTGGGCGAAGGATATGAACAGACACTTCTCAAAAGAAGACATTTATGCAGCCAAAAAACACATGAAAAAATGCTCATCATCACTGGCCATCAGAGAAACGCAAATCAAAACCACAATGAGATACCATCTCACACCAGTTAGAATGGCGATCATTAAAAAGTCAGGAAACGACAGGTGCTGGAGAGGATGTGGAGAAATAGGAACACTTTTACACTATTGGTGGCACTGTAAACTATTTCAACCATTGTGGAAGTCAGTGTGGCAATTCCTCAGGGATCTAGAACTAGAAATACCATTTGACCCAGCCATCCCATTACTGGGTATATACCCAAAGGATTATAAATCATGCTGCTATAAAGACACATGCACACGTATGTTTATTGTGGCACTATTCACAATAGCAAAGACTTGGAACCAACCCAAATGTCCAACAATGATAGACTGGATTAAGAAAATGTGGCACATGTACACCATGGAATACTACGCAGCCATAAAAAATGATGAGTTCGTGTCCTTTGGAGGGACATGGATGAAGCTGGAAACCATCATTCTCAGCAAACTATAGCAAGGACAAAAAACCAAATACCACATGTTCTCACTCATAGGTGGGAACTGAACAATGAGAACACTTGGACACAGGAAGGGGAGCATCACACACTGGGGACTGTTGTGGGGTGGGGGGCTAGGGGAGGGACAGCATTAGGAGATATATCTATGTAAATGATGAGTTAATGGGTGCAACACACCAACATGGCACATGTATACATATGTAACAAACCTGCACGTTGTGCACATGTACCCTAAAACTTAAAGTATAATAATAATAATAATAATAAAGAATACCCTGGAAAAAAAAAAAAAACTTTACAAGACACCAGCCAGGAGGAGGGACCTGTAAGTGAACTCACATCTGGGCTACGCATCACTTGAAGGCAAAACTCAAGAGACAAGCTTCAGTAAAAGAAAGTTAGCTTTATGTGATAAGTGGGCAATCCAGGAGGAGGCAGTGATGTGTGTTCAAAGACTCCTTCTTTGAGTTGTGTCTCTAGATCAGTGGTTTTTAAGGGAAGTTAGGGAAGCGCAAATGATGATCAAAGCATTCTTTGCAACAGCAGCTATGCGCGCAGCCCCAGGCAGGCAGTTCATCACTGCTGTCTTGGTGAGTGTCTTGTGACCTTTTGCAGGCACAGCCAGAGTCTTCTTATCTGGTGGTAGAAAACTGCCAGGCAGCCTGCTCCCGGGATTGTTAGCGCATTTCTCTCTCACCTATGCTCAAGGTCCTCTTTTCTTGAGGCTGTTTTTAGTGAATAAGTCTACCAGCTTCAGCAAAGCAGTCATACACTCGAGCAAGGAAAATTCTTCTTTAACATGGAATCGGTGCTGATACAGGCCCACTGCCTGAATGAGGAAAGCTGGGCCCCAGGAGACAAAGTGCCATGTTCCAGATCCCACTGGGACCAAGGAGCTGCAGACGCAGTGACACTCATGCGATGAGGACCTGCCACGTGGGGATGTGGTCACATATATCACAGGGGGCTAAAGGCAGTGAGCAATTCAAGCCCCAGAAAGAAAGCTGGCACGTGCCAGCAACGCAGAGACCTGCAGCAGCTCAGGCACAGGTTAGGAAACTCCAGATCGACTTGCAGGTGCTGGTCTGAGGAGGGAGTTAGAATTCACCCTGCGTGAATATCCCCCATTGCCAGAGAGGGAGCTGGTGGAAGGAGCTGCAGGGGCAGTGATGAGCTGTCATCCCTACTCACCATCCACAGCCACATTCAACGGGCTCTGGGAAGAGGCAGCGACGATTGCTCCGACAGGCTGCCCAACCGCTCTACCTGCCTCCCACCAGTTCTCACACTGCAGTCGGTGCAATCTTTCAACATGTCAGCCTTCAAAAGGAAGGAAATTCTGGCGCAACACGGAGAAGCCTTGAGGACATGATGTTAAGTGAAAAGAACCAGTCACAAAAGAACAAATACCGTATAAGTCCGCTTATATGAGATACCTAGAGCATTCTAACACAGAGCATTCTATAGAAAGCAGAATGGTGGTTGCCAGCGGCTGGGGGCAGGGGGAGCAGGGAGTTGTTTAACAAGTACAGAGTTGCCGTTTTGCAAGAGGAAAACGTTCTGGAGATGGATGGTGCTGATGGTTGTACAACAGTGTGAATATATTTACTGCTGCACTGCATGTACACTGAGAAATGGTGAAGATGATAAGGCTTATAGTCTGCATTTTTTACCACAATACAAATTAATAATAATAATAATAAAATATCACACCCCTGATCCCTCCAGAGGCTCCTCCTCACGCCTAGCAAATCTAAAACTTCTTGCCATGTGTGTTTGTTTCCAAGAGCCGCTGTCACCAAGTTCCACAAACCATGTGGCTTACACAGCAGATATGTGTTGTCTCATGGTCCTGGAGGCTGGAAGTCCGAGATCAAGGTGATGGCAGGGCCGGTTCCTTCTGTGAGAGGGGATTTGCTCCACGCCGCCTGCCTGGCTTCTCGTGGTTTGCTGGCAAGCTTTGGCATTCCTCGGCTTCTAGAGGCAACACCCCAATCTCCACCCTCATCTTCATGTGGTATTCTCCCTATCTCCAACTTCCCCTTTTTATGAGGACACAGTCATAGTGGATGAGGGGCCAACCCTAATGGCCTCATTTTTGTTTGTTTTGTCATAGCCTCCTTTTAATCTGATTACCCCTGTAAAGATCGTATCTCCAAATAAGATCCCATTCTGAGGTATGGAGGGTTAGGACTTTGACACATGGATTTTGGGAAGATACAATTCAACCCATAACACCGTGGCTCTGCAAAATGTGAGCCCTGACAGCCTGTGGCCTCGTTTCTTAGCGTTCTCCCCTCCACTGCAGGGCAGCCACACTTACTTCCTTGCTCATCCGCCAGTGCACCAAGCACTGCTGTCTTCCGGCCTTCGGGAATGTAACTCCTGCAGCTACAGTTGCGCCCTTGTCTTATGGAGTGCCACAGCAATGTAAGAAACATGTAGAGCATCACCCCAACATGAAAATGCCTCTTCCCACTCACTTCTGCTCTCAACTTGGCTGTTCCTGGAGAGCTTCGTAAAGTGTAGGGATTTATCAAATTCTAATTCCATTAGTTTATTCACTTGTTAAACAGTTTCCTCTTTCTCATTCACTGATTCACTCTTCCAACAAATATTTGCTGAATATCTACTTTATTCCACGCAGCCTGCAGGTGCCCGGGACTCACTGGTGATTGACACAAATGTCTCTTCTTCTTCTAGCTAATGTCCTAGCAAGAGAGGCCAAACACAGACAGTGCAAATAAATCGTGAACAAAATGCGTGATGCTAAAAGGTGATAAGGGCTTAGAGAAGAAGAGGAGTGACAAACGGGGTCTAAGAATGTGAGGGGCAGGTTCAGTGACAGCATGGAAATGGGTGGTCAGAGAAGGTCTGTGGGAAGGCAAGAGCTGAGCGAGGATTGAAGACACGGAGCGAGCCACAGAGCCAGCCACGGCGCTGTCTGGAGGACACACATTCCAGGTTGAAAGAATTGTTAGAGCAAAGGCTTTGGCGAGGAACTTTCCCTGGTATGTTGGGGCTGCAGCCCGTGGGGTTAAAGTGGACAAAGGGGAGAGTGGTCAAGGAGCAATTCAAAGGCAACGTGGAACAAATTTTTCGTGTTAGGGCTTTGGTTTCTGCTTGATTTAGGGGAGAATGTGCAGAGCTCTGAGCATGTCACGGAATAGACTAAGGGACAAAGGTAGACACAGGAAAGCCCACTAGGAGACTGTTACAGAGTGCCAGGGAGAAATGACGTGGGTTGAACCAGATGGGGAGCAGTGGATGGGGTGAGAAGAGAAATATCTGGAAGGTCCAGCCGTCATTCCTTCACAGACTGGATGCTTGCGGGAATATCAGAGGGCACGAGTGTTCACAGCCTGAGCAACTGAAAAGGCAGATTTGCCTTCAGCTGGGACAGGAAAGGCTGTGGACAAGAACAGCAGGTCTGCGGGGGAAGACCCTCAGTTTTGCTCTGGACTGAGCTCGAGATGTCTAGACGTCAAAGTGGAGGTGTCACAGGAATTTCTTTTTTTTCAACACCACATTGGAGGTCACAGTAAGAATTTCTGAGCTGAGTTGACAGAGACTTGACATCATGGTCAGCAGTAAGAACAAGAGCAATGACAGTAATAATAGCAGTAACAACAGCCCCAGTCTGCTGTCTTGAGTGGACAGACCACAGAGCTCTCGGGATGGCATGTTCCACCATCCCCAGTGTACACAGAAGGGCTCTGAGGCACAGGGAGGGAAGGGCTGGCTCTAGCTCACCCAACAAGCTAGGGCTGACTGGGGCTAGAATCCAGTTCTTCTGATCCCATATCCATCTCCTGCTTTTTTCTGACACGTAAGATGTTCTTTGATCCAACAGAACAGCCTCCTTTCCCTGAACAGATGCTGTATCTTCCCACTCTGCCAGGAATATCTGCCTGGCATCCCGACTTCCTTCTGACGAAGCCCATTTCAAATGCTGCCTCCTCTTCATGTGGGCATCGTCCACCTCTCTCCTTTCTCCTCTGACTGCTCTGGTCGCTCCCTTGCTCAGCCTCTGTCTCAGATTCCCTGATGCTCCCCGGAGACAGGGCACACATCCGACTCACACCTAGACCCCAAAGTTCCTCTCCTTGTGAACTCACAGCGGGGGCCACTCGGTGAGATTGAGTGGATAAGGGAAGGGGTGAATGCATTCCACACTCAGTAACCATGTTTGTGGCACCCTAGAAGACGCAGATGCAGGATATGCTTATTCATTTATTCATTTGAGACATTCTTAGCCATTGGAAGCACTAACTTCTTAAAAATGTGATAAAAGCTGTGAAATCTTTTGCCAGAAAACTGCACATATATACACACGATTTGCAGATAGATTCGAGGGGGTTATGAATTTCAACCCACCTGCATTCCTTAGACTTCAAATTAAGCATCTCTATTGCTGCGTACCACAGAGCTGGGGATCCGGGCTGGGCTAAAGTATAGCCCCGTCTACACTCTGGGACACCCACTGAGTTGGAGTTCAGTCTGTCTTAGATAAAAATATTCGCAATCACTACACAGCTGCTTCCCACATTTTCTCCCACAGGGCATGTGGAGAGGAGTCTGGCTTAAGTGATCTCCGGGCAGTGAAGAGGAATCTGTTGTCATGAACAATGGTTTCTATCTCACTTGGAGTTCAGGGATTTGTGGACCATCAGAGGCAGATGTGTTTAGGAGTTGTCGGAATTTTAGCACGATGCCTAGACTGTGGTTGTGGCTGATGCCTGCTCTTCTATCATGGATTGGCTGCATTTCAGAAGTGTGTGGACTGGTAAATGACAAATAAGTAAAAACCCTGTTGTTGACAAATTAGAATGGGTTTTCCACTGGTTCATATAGTAACCTGTTGCTATGGCAAAAGAAAAATTCGTTCTTTTGTAGGAGAAAGGAAATTTGTCATTCTCAGAGCTAAGTGGAAATTCATTCTTTTCAGAAAAGCAGAGGGGAATTTCTCACTGTCTCTTGGTGCTTAGGTAAGAAAGGCCTGCGAAGGACAGGGCCTGTGAGAACAAAATGAGAGAGTGGAGCGCCCCAGACGGAATGGGGAATTGAGGCTGTTGATCACAAAAATGCCTTTCCCTGGAAGCATCTGTTATCCAGCGCCAGCTACAGGCTGAGAATCTAAGCCTGGCCTGGGAAGAAGGCCACTATAAGGAGACAGACAATCCAGCCCAGCGTTGAATGTTGCAACGTGATCCCCCTGTAGGGAGATGTGCAGAATTCTGAAGCTGCATGAGTGGAAAGACAAAGAGCTAAGCCACAGTTCTCTCTGAGGCCAAGCAAAAATTCACATATTCCCTAAGCCCCAGAAGACAAAAATGCACTGGGCTCAGGAGGGCCAAATCTAAAGAACAGGATGAAGCAGACACTGACTGAATGTTGCCAGAACTGCAACAAAGATTTGACTCAGCCCAGTCTGTTGTTTAACTCAGATGATCAGATCTCACCCAGTCTACCTTCTGGAAGGTGGACTGGTGGAAGATGAAGACATCTGGGGTTATTACAGTATTTCACGTACAATGCCCAGTGCACTAGTGAATGTTATGGGAATGCAGAGACAGAACCTGTGAATAAAGCCTGGGAGAATAAAAGCAGACTTAGGAGCAGATACACAGGTCATAAAGAGACTTTAAAATAATCATATGTTCAGAAGAATAGAAAAGAATGACAAAATAGATGGAAAGGCAGTAAATTTCAACACAGAATTAGAATTTATATATAGGACTCATATATACATATATGAGTCAAATGGACATTTTTAAAGCTAAAAACACAATATGTATAATTAGGAACTTATTGGAAATAGAACAGGGTATGGCAGAGATTGAAAAGAGAAGAATATGGGACTAATAAATAAGAAAATAAAATGATAGAAAGGGTCCAAACTGAAACACTAAAAGAAAAAAATTAAAATGAAGAGGAGAGTGTAAGATAAATGTGGGACACAATCAAAAGGTTCAATATAAATGTTATTAGAACTCCAGAAAACAAGGAGAACGGGGCAAGGGCGCCAGCAGTAACTAGAGCAGTAAGAAGGGAAATACCCAGCGCCCACCCACACCAGCCTCCCTGTCTCATGGAAAGGGAAAATGAAACACAACAGAGAAGTGTGGTGAAGGTCACAGCCCAGGGGCCACAGGCCCATTCGCAGGCTGAGACCTAATCCTAAGACTTCAGAAGGCTTCCCTACCCCAAGAGTTGACCATCACATCAGTAGGGCTCAGCAGGGGACAACTGAAAACACTGTGTGTCTCAGACATTATGTAGGAAGAGGTCTCTAGAGAAACCCAAAGACAACAGGGGAGGCAAAGCAAGGACACCAGAAGGAATGTTAGCCTCTGATGCCTGCAGCATAGTAAATGCAACCTAGGTCTTAGCCAGATAAACACAAAACCTCACAGCGAAGGCCTACTTACCTCGGTTCCTTTAACCCAGGACAAAATGTCTGGCTGTTAACAAAAAATTACAGAGCATATTAAAAGACAAAAGCACAGTTTTAAGAGACAAAGCAAGCATCAGACCAGACTCAGATATGGCAGAGGTTGGAGTCATTAGATTGTCATCTTAAAATTATAATTGGCCCAGGTGCAGTGGCTCACACCTATAATCCCAGCATTTTGGGAGGCTGAGGCAGGTCGATCACCTGAGGTCAAGAGTTCAAGATCAGCCTGGCCAACATGGCGAAACCCTGTCTCTACTAAAAAATACAAAAAGTTAGCCAGGCGTGGCGGTGGGCACCTGTAATCCCAGTGACTCTGGAGGCTGAGGCAGGAGAATCGCTTGAACCCAGGAGGCAGAGGTTACAATGAGCCGAGATCATGCCACTGCACTCCAGCCTGGGCAACAGAGACAGACGCCATCTCAAAAAAACAAAAAACAAACCTATAATATGCCAACAGCTCTAGTGGAAAAAGTAGACAAGATGTGAGAACACATATGTGTTGGGGTGATCAGACCCAACACCAGGTCGTGGGGGCGACGAAGCCTGGTGGAGTCAAAGGATTGACAAAAAGACAGTCTATGAGAGAGAGAAGTGGGACCACAGGGCCATCACTAGTGTATGGAGGCTGCGAAGGCCCTGAGCGCTGGGACCCCACGCTACTTATTGGTAATCCAACAAAGAAACAGGTGGTGAGAATGTGGAGGTCAAAAGGGCGCGTTGCATCGAGCACATGATTTACATGATTTACAGCTGTGATGGTTTAGCATTTGCTCTGCTACTTGTGATCATGGAGAGCAGGTTCTTTTAATTCAAGATACAATCGATCCTGGGAGAGCAAAGAGCAAGGAGCCAGCAAGTCTAGACACATTCTAGAGCCACGAGACCTGGACTGTATCCAAGCCATGAGGGGTTTTATGCCCTGGGCTTAGACTACGGTGTGACAGGGCAGCCTTCCACCCTTTAGCACAGAACTGGGTGTTCCAAAGGCCACAAGAGGTTTTAGACCCTGGCCCCCGGACATGTTCCAAGACTCTTTTACATTATGTCAGACATGCAAGCCCTGCCTCAGCTTCTCCCAACACTCAGCTTTTCCCAACACATATGTAATATAAGCAGAGAGATGGAAACTTTAAGAAAAAATCAAAAGGAAATGCTGGAAATAAAAAGAAAAACTCACTATAATTGAAATGGAGAATGCCTTTGATGGCTTACCAAAAGATTAGACATGACTGAGAACAGAATCAGTGCACCTGGAGGAATGCAAAGAGGAAGAAGGAATGGAAAAGACAGAGCCTATCTAAGAACTGTGGGACAATGAGAAAACATGTAAAAAATGGACATACAAGAAGGGGAAGAATGAAAGGAATTTCAAAGATTCTTTTCTAACCAAAGCATTTATGGCTATAAATTCCCCTCCAAGCTCTGTCTTAGCTTCATTCTACAAAATGCTTCTAATTTTGTGTGATTTCTTCTTTGACTCATGGAATATTTTGAAGTATATTCTTTAATTTTCAAATATTTGGGGTTTTCCTAGATAACCCTTTGTTTTTTATTTTAATTGAATAATGTCTAGTCGGAGGCATATTCTGTAGGATTTCAATCTTTTGAAATCTGTTAAGGCTGGGCACCTTGGCTCACACCTGTAATCCCAGCACTTTGGGGTGCAAGGCGGGAGGATTGCCTGAGGCCAGGAGTTCGAGACCAGCCTGGCCAACATGGTGAAACTGTCTCTACTAACAATACAAAAAATTAGCCAGGCGTGGTGGGCGCCTGTAATCCCAGATACTTGGGAGGCTGAGGCAGGAGAATCACTCGAACCCGGGAAGTGGAGGTTGCAGCGAGCTGAGATCTCTTCTCCTCTTATAAGGAGCCATACTGAATTAAGGGCCCGCCCTACTCCAGTATGATCCGGTCTTAATTAATGACATGATTTCCAAGTAAGTTCACATTCTGAGGTACTGGGGTGGCAGGGCATTTGGGGCGGGGTGCGGGGTAGGGACACACTTCAACTCAAAACACTTGCTAAACTCATTTATAGTTCTAATGTTTTCGGGTGGATTCCTTAGGATTTCTATATACATGATCATGTTGTCTGTAAATAAAGGTAGTTTTACTTCTTCCTTTTCTTTTTAAATATTTTTTTTCTCACTTGATTCACTGGCTAGAAGTTTTAGTACAATGTTGCATAAAAGTGGTAAGAACAGATACTTTTCCTCACGAGGAAGGAATTGTCTTTCATCATTCAGTATGATATCAGCTGCTGGTTTTTTGGTATATGTCCCCTTTTAAGTTAAAGAAGTTCTCTTCTTTTTTTATTTATTTTATTTTATTTTATTTTTTTGAGACGGAGTCTCGCTCTGTCGCCCAGGCTGGAGTGCAGTGGCGAGATCTCGGCTCACTGCAAGCTCTGCCTCCTGGGTTCAAGCGATTCTCCTGCCTCAGCCTCCCAAGTAGCTGGGACTACAGGCTAATTTTTTGTATTTTTAGTAGCGACGGGGTTTCACCGTGTTGGCCAGGATGGACTCGATCTCCTGACCTCGTGATCCGCCTGCCTCGGCCTCCCAAAGTGCTGGGATTACAGGCGTGAGCCACCGCGCCTGGCCAATAAGTTCTCTTCTATTCTTGATTTGTTTAGAGTTTTTAATTATAAATGGCTGTTGGATTTTGTCCATTATTTTCCTGTTTTTATTAAGATGATCATGGGTTTATTTTCTTTATTCCATTAATATGATACATTACATTAATTGATGTTTGAGGGTTAAGCCCACCTTGTATACAAGGGATAAATTTCAGTTGGTCACGGTGAATCACCCTCTTTATATGTTGGTAGGTTCCGGTTGATAGTATTTTGTTGAGAATTTTTGTAGATTCATGAGGGATATTAATCTTTAGCATAGTTTTCTTGTGATGTCTTTGTCTGGCTTTGTACTAGGTAGTACTGGTCTCATAGAACAAGTTGACACATGTTCTGTTCTTTGTTTTCTGGACAGGTTTGCAAAGGGATTGATATTTTTTCTTCAGACGTTTGGCAGAATTTGCAAGTGAAGCCATTCAACTTGGATTTTCCTTTGCAGGGAGAGATTTAAAAATATTTATTTTTTTAAAGTAATTGTAGATGCAGAAGAATTTGCAATAATAAATAGATGTCTCTGTGTCCTTCATCCGGCTTCCCTCAATGGTGACATTTTTATATTACTGTAGTGCAAAACCAATTTGGGAAATTGATGTTGGTACAATACTGTTAACTATATGACATCTTATCCAGTTTTTCTCTCTCCCTCAGTCCCTGTCCTGTGGCAACCACTCATCTGTTCTCCGTCTCTACAGCTCCTCATTTTGAGAATGTTATATAAATAGACTCGTACACTTTGTAACCTTTTCAGCTTGACTCTTTTCAGTAAGTACAATGCCTTGAGATTCACCCAGGTTGGTGATTACATCAATAGTTCATTCCATTTTATCGCTAAGAAGTATTCTCCTCTATGGTTGTGCCAGAGTTTGTTTAACCATTCACACACACATTGAAGGACTTCAAGTTATTTCATTTTTTTTAAACAAACAAAGCTGCCATCAACATTTGTGTACAAGTTTTATGTGAACACAAGTTGTCATCTCTCACAAAGAAACGCCCAACAGTGTGATTGCTGGGTTGTATAGGAAATACATGTTTCGTTTTATAAGGAACTGCCAAACTATTTTTCTAGAGTGGCTGCACCTTTTTTTTTTTTTTTTTTGAGACGGAGCCTCGCTCTGTCACCAGGCTGGAGTGCAGTGGCGCGATCTCGGCTCACTGCAAGCTCCAACTCCCTGGTTCAAGTGATTCTCCTGCCTCAGCCTCCCGAGTAGCTGGGATTACAGGCACGTGCCACCACACCCAGCTAATTTTTGTATTTCTAGTAGAGACGGGGCTCACCATGTTGGCCAGGATGGTCTTGATCTTCTGACCTCATGATCCACCCGCCTCAGCCTCCCAAAGTGCTGGGGTTACAGGCGTGAGCCACCGCACCCGGCCTGGCTGCACCATTTTACTTTCCCAACGGGTGTGTACTAGAGATCCAACTTTTCCACATCCTCGCCAGCATTTGGTGTTTTGTTTTTTAATTTTAGTTTATTGTGATAAGTGTGTAGTAATATCTCATTGTGGTTTCAATTTGCATTTCCCAAATGCCCAATGATATTCAACATATTTTAATGTGCTTATTTGCTATCTGTACTTAATTTTTTTATTTTTTCTTCTTTGAAAGGCTCCTGTTAAAGCAAACTAAATATGGCCTGAGAAGGACTCCATATCTCTATATTTGAGTCCTTGTGGACAAACTGTAACCTAGCTTAATAGGCAGACAAGATTGCAAACCTAACTTGGGAGTATGCTCCTGTAACAGTAGCTGGGTCTTGGCCAATCCCAGAGGTCATACTTCAAACACTCATAGATTGCTAAGTGTTCAAACAAGGCAAATGCTAACCTGTAACCAATCCTGTTGTTTCTGTACCTCACTGCTGATTTCTAAGTGTTCAAACAAGGCAAACGCCAGCCTGTAACCAATCCTGTTGTTTCTGTAGCTCACTGCCGGCTTCTGTATAGCACTTCTCTTTTTTTTTTGTCTATAAATTTGTTCTGACCACAAGGCATCCCTGGAGTCTCTCTGAATCTGCTGTGATTCTGGGGCTGCCTGATTCACAAATTGTTCATTGCTCAATTAAACTTCTTTAAATTAATTTGGCTGAAGCTTTTCTTTTAACACCCCATACTTACCCATCACTGGGGCCTTCCCTCACTTGCCCTGAACTAGCACGACTTAGTGTATACACATCTTTCCAGACCCTCGGGGTAAGTTGGATCTGAAACGTCCCTCCTTGGCTGTCTCGTCCACTGGCTATCCCTGTTAAATTCCTGGTTGGCCTGCCATTTGGATGCTTGTCCCAACCAATATCTTGACCTCAGGATAGCTGCAATATTGGCTTTATGTGACTGTTTGCCACTAAGATCCCTATTGTTTTTTACAACACCCTTGGGCATTGAATTTTCCATGCTCTGCTATGGACAGACAGGAGAGCTCCCGATCCTTAGGACCTGGCCTGCGGCTGGATAGAACATCCATACCACAGGGGAAGGGGAGCAGTGATTGGAGAACTCCTAGACTCTCTATCTTCTGACCAAACGTCAGTAGATTTTCTTGAGTAAATGATTCTCAATTTGTTGTTCCCCTTTGGTACATTTTCAGCATTTAAATAGCTGTTTTTGCCAATTTTATCTAGTTATATTGTTGCTTCTTGTGGAGATGATTGGTGGGGCTCCTAACTCAGCCATTTCAGAAGTTCGTCTCTCGACCTTCTCCATTTTCATCATGTGTTTTGAAGCTCTGTTATTAGATGGATACATATTTATGACTGATACGTCTTCCTAGTCAACTGATCCTCTTATAATTATAAAATATTTGTCTTTAACAACATATTTTATCTGAAAGTCCCTTTTTTTTTTTTTTTGAGACAGAGTCTCACTCTCTCTTGCCCAGGCTGGAGTGCAGTGGTGTGATCTCTGCTCACCGCAACCTCCACCTCCCGGGTTCAAGCAATTCTCCTGCCTCAGCTTCCTGAGTAGCTGGGATTATAGGCAGGCGCCACCACGACCGGCTAATTTTTGTATTTTTAGTAGAGATGGGCTTTCACCATATTGGCCAGGCTGGTCTCGAACTCCTAACCTCAGGTGATCCACCTGCCTCAGCCTCCCAAAGTGCTGGGATGACAGGCATGAGCCACTGTGCCCAGCCCTTAAAATTTATTTGATATTAGTATTAGGTATATTATGCTTATGTTTGTTTTTTGAGACAGGGTCTTACTCTGTCAGCTGGAGTGCAGTGGCACCATCTCGGCTCACTGCAGCTTCGACCTCCCATGCTCAAGCGATCCTCCCACTTCAGCCTCCCAAGTAGCTGGGATTACAGGCACTACCACCACGCCCAGCTAATCTTGGTATTTTTTGTAGAGACAAGGTTTCACCATGTTGTCCAGGCTGAAGTGCCATGACTATTTACAGGTATGGGTATTGCACACTACGACCTCAAACTCCTGGGCTCAAGCAATGCCCCCACCTCAGCATCCTGAGTAGCTAGGACCAGAGCCATGTACCACCACGCCCAGCTAATGTTTTAAAATTTTTTGTAGAGATGGGGTCTTACTTTGTTGCCCAGGTGGGTCTTAAACTCCTGGGCTCAAGCGATCCTCCCATCTCAACTTCCCAAAGTGCTGGGGTTACAGTCTGAGTCACCACGCCTGCCTATATGCTATGTTTATATGGTTTATAGATTTCCTTCCATTTACTTTCAAATATCTATGCCTATGTTTAAAGCAGATTTCTTATAGACATCTAATGGTTGAGTCTTTCCTTTTTCACTCATTACTGCAATCTGTGCCTACTGATTAGAACGTTTAGTATAACTGTTGACATTATGCCACCTTCACATCATAGGTAGAGACCCTACAGCTCTATAGTTCCATTGACCACCATCCTTTATAACATAGTTATTATAAATACCACAGTTGGCCAGGTGCGGTGGCTCATGCTTGTCATCCCAGCACTTTGGGAGATCGAGGTGGGTGGGTCACCTGAGGTCAAGAGTTCGAGACCACCAGCCTGGCCAACATGGTGAAACCCCAGCTCTACTAAAAATACAAAAAATTAGCCAGGCATGGTGGTGCATGCCTGTGGTCCCAGCTACTCAGGAGGCTGAGGCAGGAGAATTGCTTGAATTGGGGAGGCAGAGGTTACAGTGAGCCAAGATCACGCCACTGTACCCCAGCCTGGGCAACAAAGCAAGACTCTGTCTCAAAAAAAAAAAAAAATTACCACAGTTACATGTATAACCACAATACAATACCATACTTTTTTATTTATATAAATTTTGGATAAACTAAGAGAACAATTTAAAAATATCTACTCATAGATTTACCGTTTTGTTGTGCTTTGTTGCATCTACTTTCATTTTCCTTAAAATATCTCCTTCAGCATTTATTTATTTATTTATTTATTTTTTGAGACGGAGTCTCGCTCTGTCGCCCAGGCTGGAGTGCAGTGGCGTGATCTCGGCTCACTGCAAGCTCTGCCTCCCGGGTTCACGCCATTCTCCTGCCTCAGCCTCCCGAGTAGCTGGGACTACAGGCGCCCACCACCACACCTGGCTAATTTTTTTGTATTTTTAGTAGAGATGGAGTTTCACCATGTTAGCTAGGATGGTCTCGATCTCCTGACCTCGTGATCCACCCGCCTCGGCCTCCCAAAGTGCTGAGATTACAGGTGTGAGCCAACACGCCCAGCCTCCTTTAGCATTTATTACAATGCAGCTCTACTGGCAAGAAATCATCTTTGTTTTCTTTTACCTGAAAGTATTTTTATTTTCTCTTCAGTTTGGAAGAATAATTGTACTAGATATAGAATGCTGATTGACAGTTTTGCTCTTTTAAAGAGGTCTACCCAACTCTTCTGCCCTCTGATAAAGAACTGTCAGTGGTAATTTTCATTTATTGTTTCCTTGTATGACATGTGCCATTTCCCTCTGGCTGATTTCAACATTTTGTCTTTATCTTTGGTTTGTAGTAGGTTGACTATTATGTGCCTAAGTGAGGTTTCCTTTAATCCTGTAATGTGATTCTCTAAATTTATGGCTTTCATTCATTGAAAAATCTAGGGACATTGTTTCATTTCGTTTCTAAAAAATTGTACTAAGAAGGCCAGGCATGGGGCTTATGCCTGTAATCCCAGCACTTTGGGAGGCTGAGGCGGGTGGATCGCCTGAGCTCAGAAGTTCGAGACCAGCCTGTGCAATATGGCGAAACTCCATCTCTACCAAAAATACCAAAAAAAACAAAAAAAAAAAAAGAAGAAGAAGTAGAAGAAGAAAGAAAAAATTAGCCAGGCCCGGTGGCATGCACTTCTGGTCCCAGCTACTCCGAAGGGCTGAGGCGGGAGGATCACTTGAGCCTGGGACAGAGCAAGACTCCATCTCAAAAAAAATAAAACATAAAAAGGCCGGGTGCCATGGCTCATGCCTGTAATCCCAGCACTTTGGGAGGCCGAGGCGGGTGGATCACCTGAGGTCAGGATTTCGAGACCAGCCTGGCCAACCTGGCAAAACACTGTTTCTACTAAAAATACAAAATTTAGCTGGCATGGTGGCAGACGCCTGTAATCCCATCTACTCAAGAGGCTGAGGCAGGAGAATCGCTTGAACCCGGGAGGCGGGAGGCGGAGGTTTTGGTGAGCCGAGATCGCACCATTTGCCCTCCAGCCTGGGCAACAAGAGCAAAACTCTGTCCCCTCAAAAAAAAAAAAGTAGTAAGAACATTTAACATGAAATCTATCTTCCTGACAAATGTTTAAGCCCACAACACAGTATTGTCAATATAGGCACGGTGTCGTGCAGCAGCTGTCTAGAGCATACTCATCTGGCATAACCGAAACTGTACACCTGCTGAGCAGTACACCTCCATTTACGCCGCCCCCCAGCCCCTGACAACCGCCATTCTACCCTCTGTCTCTATGAGTTTAGCCTTTTTTTTTCCCAAGACGGAGTCTTGCTCTGTCACCCAGGCTGGAGTGCAGTGGCGTGATCTCGGCCCACTGCAACCTCCATCTCCTGGGTTCAAGCGATTCTCCAGCCTCAGCCTCCTGAGTAGCTGGGACTACACGCACCTGCCATTACGCCCAGCTAATTTTTGTATTTTTAGTAGAGACGGGATTTTACCATGTTGGTCAGGTTGGTCTTGAACTCCTGACCTCAAATGATCCACTTGCCTCGGCCTCCCAGAGTGCTGCAATTACAGGCACGAGCCACTGCACCCAGCCTAATTTTTGTATTTTTAGTAGAGATGAGGTTTCACCATGTTGGCCAGGCTGGTCCCAAACTCCTGACCTTGTGATCTGCCTGCCTCAGCCTCCCAAAGTGCTGGGATTACAGGCGGGAGCCGCCGCACCCGGCCGAGTTTAACTATTTTAGATATATCACACAAGTGGAATCACGCAGTATTTGTCCTCTTTGACTGTCTTATTTCACCGGAAAACAGTATGAGTTTACTAAGAAAATTAAAAATAGAACTACCATATGATCCAACAATCCTACTTCTGGGTATATGCGAAAGAATCGAAATCAGAATCTTGAAGCGATATCTGCATTCTCATGTTTATTGCAGCATTACTCACGACAGCCAAGATATGGAACAACCTAAGTATTCCAAATCCACAGATAAAGAAAATGCGGTGTATACCTAAAATGGAATAGTATTCAGCCTCTGAAAAGACAAGTGCAGCTGGGTGCGGTGGCTCACACCCGTAATCCCAGCACGTTGGGAGGCTGAGATGGGTGGATCATGAGGTCGGGAGTTCGAGACCAGCCTGGCCTAGATGGTGAAACCCTGTCTCTACTAAAAATACAAAAATTAGCTTGGCATGGTGGTGGGCACATGTAATTCCAACTACTTGGGTGGCTGAAGCCGAGAATTGCTTGAACTGGGGAAGCAGAGGTTGCAGTGAGCCAAGATCACGCCACTGCACTCCAGCCTGGGCGACAGGGTTAGATTCCCTCTCAAAAAAAAAAAAAAGAGTGCATTATTTCTTAAAATTTTTTTTTCTTCTCTCCTCCTAACCCACCAGTTACACAGATTTTTAAACTCTATGTTTTCCACAGAGCCCTTTCTTTCTTTCCCACTATCCTTCAGACAAGCATTTCCTTGGATCTGTCTTCAAATTTACTGACACTTTCTTCTGTCATCTCCAATCTGTAGTGAAGCCCATCCAGTGAAGTTTTCTTTCAGATACTGCATTTTTTTTTTTTTTTTGAGATGGAGTCTCACTCTGTCGCCCAGGCTGGAGTGCAGTGGCACAATCAATCTCGGCTCACTGCAACCTCCGTCTCTTGGGTTCAAGCAACTCTCCTGCCTCAGCCTCTTGAGTAGCTGGGATTACAGGCAAGCACCACCACGCCCAGCTAATGTTTGTATTTTTAGTAGAGAGGGGTTTCACCACGTTAGCCAGGCTGGTCTCGAACTCCTTACCTCAGGTGATCCACCCACCTCGGCCTCTCAAAGTGCTGGGATTACAGGCCTGAGCCACCACGCCCGGCCAGATAGTATATTTTTAAAGTCAAACATTGTTTCATTTTCACACTGGTTTCTTTTTCTCTGTTGAGATATTCTAGTTTTTCATTTGTTCACAAGCATGTTTTTATTTACTTTCTTAATCCTAGTTATCATACCTACTTAAAAATTCTTATCTGCTACTCCATCATCTGGATAATTTAAAAATTTTTGATCTTTTTTTCTTTAGAATAGGTCATGTTTTTCTGTTTTATATTTCAATAATTGTTTTTAAATTTACCCTTGACATTGTGAATAATAGATTGTGATTCAGTTAAGGGTAAGGGAGTGGGGGAGTAACACCAGATTGGATTTCGTCTAAGGGAAGGTAAGAGCACATATATATAAGAAAGAAAATCTAGAAAATTCTTTAAAGACTTTTTTTCTTTTTTTCAAAATAGAGTAAATGAAGTGTTAGCTGGAGGGTAAAGTGAAGTCTGGGGAAAATTTTTAAGTTGGAAATATTAGAACACATTTATAATGGGAATGAATCAATAGAGAGGAAAAAGTTGGACAAGGTAGAAGAGAGAGGTAAAATTCACTAGGTCAGAGTATCTGAGTGGGATAGAGGGATGGGAACTATCGCACCTGTGGCCTTAGATAAGAGAGTGAATGGCAGCTCTGTTCCACCACATTTTCTGTGACGATAAAAACATTTTGTATATGTGCTGCCTGATATGGCAACCACGAGCCAGCTGTGGCGATTAAGCAGTTGAAATGTGGCCAGTGCAACTTAATACATGAATTTTAAATTTTATAAAATGTAATTAATTTAAATTTGCAGCTAGTGGTTACTGTACAGAAGAGCACAGATCTGTGGTAACAGGAAGGATGAGGATGTGGGTACTTGTGTCCATGTGGTAATAGGAGCTGTAGAAATTCTGTTTTGTTCTCTTTTCATTTCTTCCCTTTTTCACTGAAGTAGAAAACACTGTTATCAAGTGAGTCCAAATCCAGTAAAGAAGTGTGGAGGGACTGAAGAGAAAGAAGTCGTCAAGATCGTCTCTTGGAATAGTAAATGGTTGAAAGATTTCATCCATTTTATTGCCTTGATTAGGTTATGCTCATCAGATCCCCCAAATCTCAAAGCTAAGATTCATTGCTCATTTTCCATGTCAGCTAGTATTAATACTTTGAGGTTAAGAAACTTCTGAGGGATTACAGACCTAGCTTCTTTCCAGTGAATCATTTTGTCCATCTTAATGATTGTGGTTTAGCCTTTTTCGTGCAAAGATTTTCAGCTTTATCTTACATAGTTGAGAAACATATTATACAATGAGAAACATTTGAATCTTTCACACTTGCCAGTCCTAGATTATTTGGGTCTTCTCATTTCTTTTTAATCCCTGCTTGCTAAATTTTTTTGGATTCATCTTTCCTTCAGAGTTCCTTGTCAAATGCAGAACCAACTAATAAATAAACCACACAAGGCCAGGCTTGGTGGCTCACGCCTATAATCCTAGCACTTTGGGAGGCCGAGGCGGGCAGATCACCTGAGGTCAGCAGTCCAAGACCAGCCTGGCCAACATGGTGAAACCCCATCTCCACTAAAAATACAAAAAATTAGCCAGGCATGGTGACGCACACATGTAGTCCCAGCTACTTGGGAGGCTGAGGCAGGAGAATGACTTGAACTTGAACCAGGGAGGCGGAGGGTACAGTGACCCTAGATGGTGCCTCTGCACTCCAGCCTGGGCAATGAAGCCAGACTCTGTCTCAAAAATAAATAAATAAATAAATAAATAAACAAATAAATAAACCACACCAGTAATCATGTATTTCTCAGCCTCTTTACTTAAAGCTAACTTTTTAGGTCCATGCCTTCTATAATATTGCAGGATACAGTTTTACAAAAAGGTTTCCCACTACACGACATGGGTTGTCAACTTGATATCATCCAATAGGTTTCTTAGCCACCTGCTGTCTGGACCCAAAGGCAATGCCTTATGTTTGCATATTACTGCATGCAAGTTCTATCAGTTAGCTTTGCGGCAATCACAAACGGTCCCGAGTCTAAGCAGCTTACGTTAGACAGGTTTTATTTCTCTTACCTGCTACTTGTGAGCTGCAGCTCCGTTCCTGTGTAACACACATGTCTTCTTTACCCCAGTCTGAGGTATTCCAGTACCTGCGCTGAATGAGCAAACTGTCATTCTCTGGCAGAGAGAAAGCAGCAACGGCGTTGGCTCTTAAAGCTTCTCTTCAGAAGTAGTGACTATAACATCTGCTTACTAGTCATTGGGCAAACCAAGTCTCGTGGCCAAACTCAAAGCCAATGGGTCGGGGATGCATACTTCTCCCTCCTTGGGAGTCTGCAAGTCGGTGACGGAGGGGAGCCAGCAGAAGCTCTCCACGCCCTATCATTTAGGATTTCTATGACAGCTTCATTATATTGGCAGGATTGATTAAATCATTGGTTGTTGGTAATTAACTCTGCTCCCTGGAGATTGGGGAATGGGCCAAAAAGTTCCAAATCTCTAATCACCAGGTTGGTTCCCTTGGCAATCAGCCCCTGTCCTGAGGCCGTCCAGGAGCCCCAAGCCACCCGTCATGTCATTAGCATACAAAATTGCTTTGGAGATTCCGAGGGCTTTAGAAGTTGTGCGTCAGGACACTGGGGCAGAGGCCACATATATATTTTCTTACTATATGCATGTAGTTGAAAGTTTCTCTTTCCAAGAATACCCAGTCCATTTACATTTAGTTAATTATCTACATAGGCAAGAGGTAGCCCACCTTAATCCAATCACTCATTGAGCTGGATCCAAATTGGTCTTCACTGTATGTCAAGCTCAGCCCTGCTGCTAGGGTGTAAACCTACAAGGCTCACAGCTAAATACCTGCGGTGTTATCGGCCCCTGAACTCCGGCTTTTGTCTCTACTGTGCACAGATTTTCTGCCTCTCAGCTCCTGCTTTCCAAGCGGCAAATATTCACAGGGGAGAAGTCACTCCAAAGGCCAGGCTGGCTTCTCAGGGCTTCCCTCCTGTCTGTGATGGAAGCCCCATCACGTGACCGGGCGCGGCGGCTCACGCCTGTAATCCCAGCACTCTGGGAGGCCGAGGCGGGCAGATCACGAGGTCAGGAGATCGAGACCATCCTGGCTAACACGGTGAAACCCCGTCTCTACTGAAAATACAAAATTAGCCGGGCATGGTGGTGCATGCCTGTAATCCCAGCTACTCCGGAGGCTGAGGCAGGAGAATCGCTTGAACCTGGGAGGCGGAGGGAGGTTGCAGTGAGCTGAGATCACGCCACTGCACTACAGTCTGGGCTCGAAACTCCATCTCAAAAAAAAAAAAAAAAGAAGCCCCATCAACGTCTTGGCTGCCTTAAGAGCTCCTTAATTCCTTCAAAAATATATGTTTTCTGTTTTGACTGACTTTTCTACGTTTCTTTAGCAAGATAATTGGTCTGAAATCAGCTATTTGACAATTTCTAGGATAATTTTTAAAATTTTTCATTTTCTGGGCCAGGCGCAGTGGCTCATGCCTGTAATCCCAGCACTTTGGGAGGCCGAGGCAGGCAGATCACGAGGTCAGGAGATCGAGACCATCCTGGCGAACACGGTGAAACCCCGTCTCTACTAAAAATACAAAAAAATTAGCCGGGCGTGGTGGCGGGCGCCTGTAGTCCCAGCTACTCGGGAGGCTGAGGCAGGAGCATGGCGTGAACCCAGGAGGAGGAGCTTGCAGTGAGCCGAGATCGCCCCACTGCACTCCAGCCTGGGTGATAGAGCAAGACTCTGTGCAAAAAAAAATTTCTTTTTCTTTTTTTTCCTCTCATGAACTCTGCTACAAGAGAAGGTTTTGAGTATATTTGATTTCCCTCAACATTTTTTTTTTTTTTTTTGAGACAAGCTCTCACTCTCTGTCACCCAGGCTGGAGTGCAGTGGCCTGATCTCAGCTCACTGCAACCTCCGCCTCCCGGTTTCAAGCGATTCTCCCGCCTCTGCCTCCAGAGTAACTGGGATTACAGGTGCCCGCCACCACGCCTGGCTAAATTTTTTTATTTTTTAGAAGAGACGGGGTTTCACCATGTTGCCCAGGCTGGTCTTGAATTCCTGAGCTCAAGTTAATCCTCCTGCCTCGCCCTTCCAAAGTGCTTGGATTACAGGTATGAGCCACCGCACCTGGCCGGATTTCCCTCTACTTTGATAGAAATATATGATTATGGACGGGCACGGTGGCTCACACCTGTAATCCCAGCACTTTGGGAGGCCAAGGCGGGCAGATCATGAGGTCAGGAGATAGAGACCATCCTGGCTAACATGGTGAAGCCCCGTCTCTACTAAAAATACAAAAAATTAGCCGGGCATGGTGGCAGGCGCCTGTAGTCCCAGCTACTCGGGAGACTGAGGCAGGAGAATGGCGTGAACGTGGGAGGAGCTTGCAGTGAGCTGAGATCGCGCCACTGCACTCCAGCCTGGGTGACAGAGCGAGACTTTGTCTCAAAAAAAAAGAAAAGAAAGAAATATATGATCATATAAAAACAAAATGAAAAACTAAAGAGTATTATTTCTAGTAAAATAAAAACTGTTAAAATTTGGGTCTATTTTCAGTTTGATACTATTTTCTGTTTATGTAACTTAAATCACTTTAGTTTTCAGAAAATATATCCAGAAAAAAATTATTTTCTTCAATTTATTGAGGCATAATTGACAGAAAATTGTATCTATTTAAGGTGTACAACTGATGATTTCACATATGTTAACACTTTAAAATGATTACCCTGGCCAGCCCTGGTGGCTCACACCTGTAATCCCGGCACTTTGGGAGGCCACAGCGGGAGGATTACTTGAGGCCAGGAGTTTGAGATCAGCCTGGGCAACACAGCGAAACCCCATCTCTCCAAAAAAATACAAAAAATTAGCCAGGTGTGGTGGCATGTGCCTTTAATCCCAGCTACTACTCAGGAAGCTGAGATGGGAGAATTGCTTGAACCTGGGAGGCAGAAGTTGCAGTTAGCTGAGATGGTGCCACTGCACTCCAGCGTGGGTGACAAAATGAGACTCTAAGTAAATAAATAATAAAATAAAGTTATTACCATGATAAAGTTAATTAGCATGCTGCATTAGTCTGTTTCGCATGGCTGTAAAGGAATACCTGAGGATGGGTAATTTATACAGAAAACAGGTTATTTGGCCCACAGTTCTGCAGCCTGCACTAACACGGCACCAGTAACTGCTGGGAGTCCGGGGAGGCCTCAGGAAGGCTTTACTGTTGGTGGAAGGCAAAAAGGGAGCAGGCATGTCACATGGCAAGAGAGGAGGCAAGAGAGAGATGCCAGGCCCTTTTAAACAATCAGATCTCTTGGTAACTAATAGAGTAAGAACTCACTCATGACCTCAAGGACAGCACCAAGCCATTAATGAGGGATCCACGCCCATGACCCAAACACCTACTAGCCCTTACCTTCAACACTGGGGATTGCATTTCACATTATGAGATTTGGAGGCAAATATCCAAACCACAGCACTTACCCAATACTTCCCACACTTACCCCCTCCCTTTTTCGGTGAGAACACTTCAGATCTACTCTCTTAGCAAGCTTCAGTATAAAATATAGTATTATTAACTATGCTCACCGTGCTGTACATTAGATCTTTAGAATTCCTTCATCTTATAACTGAAAGTTTGTACACTTTGATCAAGATCTCTCCATTTCCTCCCCCACCTCCCTTCCCGGCAACCACCAGGTTGCTCTGCTCTCTGCTTCTATGAGTTGGAAATGTTTCTTCTTTTTAGATTCCATATATAAGTGATACCATACAGTATTTGTCTGTCTCTGTCACACTTCACTGAGTATAGTGCCCTCTAGGTTCATTTATGTTGTTGATAGGCAGGACTTCTTTTTTAAAGTGGCTGAATAATATTCCGCTGTGTGTGTATGTGTGTCAAGTTTTCTTTTTATCCATTCACCTGTCAGTGGACACTTAGATTGTTTCCGTATCTTTGCTACTGTGAATAGTGCTGCAATGAACGTGAGATGCAGATCTCTCTTCCAGATCCTGGATACATACCCAGAAGTGGCACTGTTGAATTATGTGGTAGTTCTATTTTTAATTTTTTTGAGTAAACTCCATACTGTTTTCCAGTGAAATAAGACAGTCAAAGAGGTTTTTCCATATCTTGGTACCAGGAGCTTTAACTCAGGTCCAACTCACCGTGGGCCCAGCGGGTCCCGGAACCCATTCTCTGGTCATTTCCCGGGTCCAGATGTGTAGTTGGAACAGACGTGTTCAGCAGCTAGCAGAGTTTCCACACGGGTTCCCTGAGCTATAAAGTGAGGGCAATTGTGATGGGAAAGGACAAATGGAAGGCGTTACAGCCATCTCTACCTAGAAAAATACTAAAACAAAAAACACACCAATACTGCCTTCCTGGAGGAATGATATAGATGAGTGCCATCATCAAAGACTTGAAGTATGGAGGGGTGGTGATTCCTACCCCACATCCTTGTCCAACTCTCCTGGCCTGTGCAGAAGACAGATGAATCCTGGAGAATGATGGTGGATTCCCAGAAGCTTAACCAAGTGATAACTCTAATTGCAGTTGCTGTACCAGATGCTGTTTCATTGCTTGAGCAAATTAACACATATCCTGGTACATGGTATGTAACTATTGATCTGACACACACCTTTTTCTCCATCCCTGTCCAGAAGGCCCACCTGAAGCAGTTTGCCTTCAGCTGGCCAGGGACACCTTCACTGTCCTCCCTCAGTTTAGATCAACTCTCCAGCCCCATGTCACAGTGTGAACCCAGGAGGCAGAGCTTGCAGTGAGCCGAGATCGCGCCACTGCACTCCAGCCTGGGTGACAGAGCGAGACTGCGTCTCAAAAAAAGGTATCGATTTTAAAACTTGATTTTTTATATATGTATATATTGTGCAATGAGCACCATAGTCAAGTCAGTTAACATATTTATCGCCTCACATAGTTAACCTTTGTGTGTGTGTGTAAGATGAGAACACTTAAGATCTACCCTCTAAACAAATTTCAGGTATAAAATACAATAGTGTTAACTATAGTCACCATGCTGTACATTCCATCTCCAGAACTTACTCATCTTGAGTAACCGGAAATTTACACTCATGACCAGCATCCCCCCATCCCCCCACTTCTCCCTCCCTCCAGCCCTGGAAACCACCATTCTACTCTCTTCTATGAGTCTGACTATTTTAGATTCCACATATAAGTGAGAGCATGCAGTATTTATCTTCCTGTGGCTAGCTTATTTCACTTGCAAATGGACTTTATGAAGCTAGTATTATCCTGATACCAAAACCAGAAAAAGACAGTACAACAAAACTGTAAAACAGCATCTTTCTTGAATACTGATGCAGAAATCATTAATAAAACATTACTAATACATCAATAATAGATGAAAAAATTATATGATGGACAATTGATGTACTCCAGAGATATGAGGCTGGTTCAATGTTTGAAAAATCAATCAAAGAACAAAGTAGGAAGAATTAATTTATATGATTTAATAACTTATACAGCTATAGTAAACAAGGGTGTGTGATATTAGCAGAGTGCAGACCAATGGAACAAGGTAGAGAACCCATGACAAGAACCACACAAATATGCCCACCTAATTTGTCACAAAAATGCAAAAGAAATTCAACGCAGAAAAGATAGCCTCTTCAGAGAAGAGCAACTGGACATTCACAGGCACATACACACAAAATGAACCTTAACCTAAACTTCACAAACCTTAATCACAATTTAACTCAAATGTACCAGGGACTTAAATGCAAAATGTAAAACTATAAAACTTTAAGAAAAATATAGGAAAAAGTCAGCCGGGCACAGTGGCTCAAGCCTGTAATCCCAGCACTTTGGGAGGCCGAGGCAGGTGGATCACGAGGTCAGGAGGTCAAGACCATCCAGGCTAACACGGCGAAACCCCGTCTCTACTAAAAATACAAAAAATTAGCCAGGCGTGGTGGCGGGCGCCTGTAGTCCCAGCTACTCGGGAGGCTGAGGCAGGAGAATGGCGTGAACCCAGGAGGCGGAGCTTGCAGTGAGCCAAGATCATGCCACTGCACCACTCCAGCCTGGGAGACAGAGCAAGACTCCATCTCAAAAAAAAAAAAAAAAAAGAAAGAAAAGAAAAAGAAAAAGAAAAATATAGGAAAAAGTCTTCAGGATCTAGGACTAACCAAAGGGTTCTTAGATTTGACACCCAAAGCACTACCCATTAAAATGTTGGTAAATTGTACCTCACAAAGTCTTTTCTCTGTGAAAGCCCATAAGAAGGGCATGAAAAGACAAGCTACAAACAGGGAGAAAGTATCTGCAACACCCATATCCCATAAAACGAATATCTAGAATATATTTTAAAAAACTCTCAAATAATAACAGTAAAAACAAAAATCCAATTAGAAAATGGCCAAAACCATGAAGAGCCATGTCACTGCAGAGGATATGCAGATGGCAAATAGGCATACAACATGCTCCGTATCATCAGCCGCCAGGGAACTGAAAATGGAAGCCATAAGTAGATATCACCGCTTTGTCATGCTGTGCAGAGGGGCCCTGGGCAGAGGCCAGTCCCATCATTCTAAGCTCTGCTAAGGCCCTCTGCGATGGACACTCTGAAGGCCATTCTATTCGCCTTTTAATGAATAGTGACAAAACAAAATGCTGGTGAGGATATGGAGAAACTGGTTCACTCATACATTGCTGGTGGGGATGTAGAATGACACGGCCATCTGGTAAAGAGTTTGGCAGTTTCTAAAAAAAAAAAAAAAAAAAAAATTAGGCCAGGCGCTGTGGCTCATGCCTGTAATCCCAGCACTTTGGGAGGCCGAGGTGGGTGGACCACCTGAGCTCAAGAGTTCGAGACAAGCCTGGCCAATATGGTGAAACCCTCTCTCTACTAAAAATACAAAAATTAGCTAGGCATGGTGGCAGGCGCCTGTAATCCCAGCTATTGGGGAGGCTGAGGCAGGAGAGTTGCTTGAAACCCAGGGACAGAGGTTGCAGTGAGCTGAGATTGCACCGCTGCACTCTAGCCTGGATGACAGAGCAAGACTCCATCTCAAAAAAAAAAAAAAAAAATTAAACATGCAATTATTATACACCCAGAAATTGTACCCCTGGGTATTTATCCCAAAGGAAGTCTTGTGTTTACACAAAACCTGTATCTGGAGGATTATAACAGCTTTACTCACAATAGTCCAAACTGGAAACATCCCGGATGTCATCCACTGGGCGAAGGGTTCAACAGCTTCTTCTACATCCACCCAGTGGAACACTACATGGCAAGAAAAAGGAATTAACAATTGATCCATGCAACAACCTGGAGGAATCTCTAATGAGTAACTGAAAAAAGCTATTCCCAAAAGGCTACATACCGTACAATTCCATTTATATAACATTGTTGAAATAACAAACTTATAAAAAGGAAGTGTATTTCAGCGGTTGCCAGGAGTTAAGGAGGGGCTGAGGGCGGGAGGGACGTGCATGTCCCTCATAAAGGGCAGTGAGAGGGTTTCTTCTGGTGACTCTCTTGACTGTATCGATGTCAATATCCTGGTTATGATACTGTGTTTTCTGAGCTGTTACAGCTGGGGGGACCCGGACATAGGGCCTAAGGGATCTCTCTAGAGTCCCTCTGTACTACTTGTTACAACAGCATGTAGAACTATAATTATCTCAAAATAATGTTTCCTTAAAAAATAAGACCACGGGCTGGGTTCGTAGCTCACGTCGGTAATCCCAGCACTTTGGGAGGCTGAGGCGGGCGGATCACCTGAGGTCGGGAGTTTGAGACCAGCCTGACCAACATAGAGAAACCCCGTCTCTACTAAAAAATACAAAAAAATTAACCAGACATGGTGGCGCACGCCTGTAATCCCAGCTACTTGAGAGGCTGAGGCAGGAGAATTGCTTGAACCCAGGTGGCGGAGGTTATGGTGAGCCAAGATTGTGCCACCATACTCCAAGCTGGGACAATAGTGAGACTCCGTCTCAAAAAAATATAATAATGTGTCCGGAATTTATTCTTTCTGGTGGGTTCTTGGTCTCACTGACTTCAAGAATGAAGCCATGTACCTTCGCGGTGAGTGTCACAGCTCTTAAAGATAGTGTGGCCGGAGTCTGTTCCTTCAGATATGTCCGGAGTTTCTGCCTTCCAGTGGGTTCTTGGTCTCACTGACTTCAACAATGAAGCCACGTACCTTCACCGCGGGTGTTATAGCTCTTAAAGGTGGTGCAGACCCAAAGGGTGAGCAGCAGCAAGAATTTATTGTGAAGAGCAAAGAAAGAACAAACCTCCCACAGCACGAAAGAGGACCTGAGCACCTTGCATCTGCTGGCGCTGGTGGCCAGCTTTTATTCCCTTATTTGCCCCTGCCCATGTCCTGCTGATTGGTCTATTTTACAGAGTGCTGATTGGTCCATTTTTATAGAATGCTGATTGGTGCATTTACAATCCTCTAGCTAGACACAGAGTGCTGATTGGTGCATTTACAATCCTCTAGCTAGTCAGAAAAGTTCTCCAAGTCCCCACCCGACCCAGAAGCCCAGCTGGATTCACCTCTCAATGAGACCACCCACAAATGTGGAAAAATGAACTTAACACACAGTGATTATGCCACCTGTGTTTTTATCCAAAAACTATCTCCTGAAGTAAGATATCAGCTTTAATTTTAATACGAGGATCTGGAGGCTCAGAAACATGAAATAAAAGTTCTGGCTGGGCGCAGTGGCTCACGCCTGTAATCCCAGCACTTTGGGAGGCCAAGGCGAGTGGATCACCTGAGGTCAGGAGTTCAAGACCAGCCTGTCCAAGATGGTGAAACTCCATTTCTACTAAAAATACAAAAATTAGCTGGGCATGGTGGCGGGCGCCTGTAATCCCAGCTATTCAGGAGGCTGAGGCAGAGAATTGCTTGAATCCAGGAGGCAGAGGTTGCAGTGAGCCGAGATCATGCCACTGCACTCCAGCCTGGGCAACCAAGTGAGACTCCATCTCAAAAAAAAAAAAAAAAAAAAAAAGATTCTATGATCACACAGCCAGGAAATGAAGGCAGGATTGAGCAGTTACCTCTGGGGTAAAAGTTATCCCTTACTACAAAGGAGCTTCCATGCAGGAAGCATGATGCAGGAATGAAAGGACGGGTCCAAGATCACTGGGGGGCTGAGCTCCCTCCCTGTCCCATGGTCTTTCTACAATTAAAGGTTCAACCCAAGCCACAAGCACAAGCCAGAAAGGGATGAGGTCACGGTCATTCATTTATTTCACATTTATTCTCATTGCACCAGGTGAGGAGAGGAAGGAGTCATTCACTAACACACACAGATTGTGCTGTTTTTCAGTCTTTCTGATGAATCAGGATCCAGATTCTAAATGTCTTCAAGACCTGGATCAGTCAGTAGAGATGGCCCACTGTGTCAGGGGGCCTGGGGCTGCCGGAGGCAAAGCAGGATACATATATGGAACATGACCATTCATGTTCCAGGGCTCCCATCCGGGTACCTGAGGATTTTCCACATAGATCACAGGTGTTGGGGCCCACATCGGCTCCTGAAAGACTATGGGAACGCCATAGGCCTGGGGCGGGTGCTCGGGAGGTGCGAGGTTAACCACATCTGCACAGGGAGGACCTGAGAGAGAGAAGACACATGGAGGGCTCATGAAGCCATCACCCACCCTGTACCTGAATCCTTGCTTGTGACCTCACCCAGCCCCAGGGCCATGTCCATTCTGAACAAGTCCACGAACAAAGTCCTCAGAATTATTACTTTGGGGAAGAATAAAAAGGAAAAATAGAGGCAGGCAGCCCATCAGAGCAGCAAGTCCCCTGTGCTGTGTGTCGAGGGACTCTGGGCAGGGGCCTGTCCCATCATTCTTTGCTCTACTCAGGGCACAAGGATGGTGGGGGTGGGGTGGGGGAAGACAATGGCACTCACTAGACCATGGAGATGAACACAAAAGACACAAACCTGAGAAGACGCTGATCTTCCATCTGTACCCCAGAATCCTGTGCAGGGCCTCACCATAAGGACATGGCAAGGGTTGGCACCTTGGCCTCTGGTTGGCCTCCTGAATAGTGAAGTATAAGTCCTGCAAGCTTATTAGCATCTGGAGACATTCCTTCCAGCTCTTGTTGATACCCCTCTGCTTGAGACGCTGAGCAATTGCTTTTGATACTATGTGATACTTCTTCTTCACCCTGTACACCTCACGTTCAAGAAATTCCCATTCTTGCAGGAAACTCCGGATTTCCTGGTCACTCCAAGGTTTAACTGACTGGACTGGAAGGAAAGAGGAATATGGATGTACTTGGCATAACTCACCTGCACATGTGCAGGATCCTGCCTCTACATGGACAGGTCCAAACTTGACTTTATTCAGTTATGGGAGATAATAGGACCTTAAATGAGAAGTGAGAGATTCAGCATCTGCCTGAGTCCTGACGCCTGACACATCCAGTCACTGGGACAGGCAAGGAAACATCTGAGAGCCTGGGTCTTGCTCAAGTTCCTTAAAATGTTTCAGAGGCTACTGACAGGGTGTGATGGCATATTTGCTGCCTGAGAGTGCTCCCCTGATGTGGGACTCACATCCCATCCCTGTGGGGCCTTTTACTGTCACCTGAGCTGTGGGCAGGGAGCTTAGGGGATGCTGAGGGCAGCCCTGGAATCCCCTGAGATGCCCCCTCTTGGGGCTTGGATGAGCGTATCAGACTCGAGAAGATGGAGGTGGGCTGGAAAATTTTCTCTACTACATGTAAGACTCTGAGGACACTGTACCTGAGGGCTTTTCTGATCCCTGGGCTGTGTTTTCCTGCTCCATTTTCTGGATGTTTATGGTAGTTTCAGTGGGAAGTATTACTATCTAATAAAAAAAAAAGATAAATACATATTAGAATCTCTCTCTCTCTCTCTCTTTTTTTTTGAGACAGAGTCTTGCTCTGTCGCCAGGCTGGAGTGCAGTGGCACGATCTCAGCTCACTGCAACTTCTGCCTCCTGGGTTCAAGTGATTCTCCTGCTTCAGCCTCCCAAGTAGCTGGGATTACAGGCACGCACCACCACACCTGGCTAATATTTGGTGTTTTTTTAGTAGAGACGTTGTTTCACCTCGTTAGTCAGGCTGGTCTCAAACCCCTGACCTCAAGTGATCCGCCTGTCTTGGACTCCCAAAGTGCTGGGATTACAGGCGTGAGCCACTGCGACCAGCCCCCCTTGTATTTAAAAAGTAAACTGCCAGATGAACGATATGAACCCAGTGGTTTTAGACACTGGACAAGGGCGCGTGGGACAGTGGAGTGAAGGCAGGAAACAAGGGTTGGGGCTCCTGCAAGTACCCAGCTCAAACCCGCACGGAATTTCCAGGCTGGGAGCAGGGAGAGGGAAATCAAGCAGAGCGTGTGTTCTCCTGAGTTGAGAACTTGGGGAGAGTCTGCTGGACCTCACAGTGGCAAGTACAGGACACAGAAGCAGTACTGGGGAGAGGGTGGAGAGAGGGAAGCAGAGAGAGCTCTGTGGATCTACTGGGAAGTCCCCTGTCCAAGCAGATCAGAGCATGAATGAGAGGAAACTGCCTGGGCTGGGAAAACACCGCGAGAAAGGAGCAGGCTGGAAAGTTCCTGGGGTCACTCTGGGCGGTGAAGAATCTGAGTCTCCGCAGCTGGAGTAAAAAGTCTGCCTAGTCCAAGGGGCTTTGAAGAGAGTGCTAGGAGAGTAGCGCCTCAGCAGTGGGGTCAAATTACCCACAGACTGAAGTTTCTTCCCATACCAACTAACAAAGATTCAAAACGATCCCCCAAAGCATCAATCTAATTCCAAAGGCTGCCTGTGGCTGAACATACAGAGGAAGCGGGTGCCTTAGAGGATAAGGTGGCTCACGCCTGTAATCCCAGCACTTTGGGAGGCCGAGGCGGGCGGATCACGAGGTCAGGAGATCGAGACCATCCTGGCTAACACGGTGAAACCCCGTCTCTACTAAAAATACAAAAAATTAGCCGGGCGTGGTGGCGGGCGCCTGTAGTCCCAGCTACTCGGGAGGCTGAGGCAGGAGAATGGCCTGAACCCGGGAGGCGGAGGTTGCAGTGAGCCGGGATCGCGCCCCTGCACTCCAGCCTGGGCGACAGAGCGAGACTCCGTCTCAAAAATATAAATAAATAAAAATAAAAAGGAACAGCACACATTTCAATGGCTGCAAAAATTCTTGTGAAATGAAATGAAAGCCAACCCCAGCCATCCTCCCACGAAACAGCAAGCGGGCGCCCTTCAACTTGCCTCCATTTTTACTCCTGAGTTTTCTCCCGGGAGTCTTCTCACTGTGCCTGCAGGGTCTGGTCAGTTCCTGAGTTGGCGGAACACTGGCACTTACTCTCCTCTAGTGGAACCTAGGAGAGTCAGGAGGAACCCGAGTGTGGAAATGTGCTTGCTTCTGTCGGCTTCTGGAGGTCTCTGAAGCCAATGCAGATCGGACATGTTTAAATATCTTAAATGTGATTGGGTCAGACCCACCCAACCTGGAGACTTTGGATTAACTAAAGATAAACTAATTTAGTACTTTAATCACATCCACAAAATCCCTTCATCCAGACTAGAATTTGATTGAATAACTGCAACAGGGAAATTGGAGATCAACTCGGCAGGGGTTCTAAGGGTCTCTGAGACCAGCATCTCCAGATGCAAAGGGATGGGTTGTTACATTCCTATAGATAAATTACCCCTTCCCCCTGAGTTCGTGCTGAATGGTCAGCTTTGTCCTTAGGGTTTGACCTCTGAGGATTAATTGCGATGTAAGGATTAGGGGAAGAGACTAGGCTTCAGCTGGTTGAGGGTGAATGGATGGCATGGATGGCAGTTATGGATGTGGGACCCTCTATGAGAAGCTCAGATTAAAAAGGAGTTTAGGGTAGGGAAGAGAGAGGCGAACAGAGCTTTCGCTTTACAAGAGGACAGACTTGAGATTTACATATACAGAAATGAGGAAGCAGAGGGATATTGGAGGGTGGTTAATAGTTTGGGCAAGTAAGTGACGGTGGGGACGGAGAAGGAGTGTGCTGAGTGCCCAGCATGTGAGGGAAGCAACTCCTAGGTTGCTTTTTGGCTTCAGAATCTCAGATGCAGTCCAGGATTAGGGATGCCCTCAGAACAAATCTTAACTCTTGGGCTTGATTCCACTCTACTCAGCACAATCCTAAGATTCACAGCTTTTAGCTCATGATAGCGTCTGAGAAGACAGGGAAGGGGGCTTTACAGTGAATGGTACTTTATTTCTACCCATTTTTTATTTTTAGAGGTAGGGTCTTGCTCTGCTGCCCAGGCTGGGGTGCAGTGGCGTGATCATGGCTCACTGCAGCCTCAAACTCCTGGGCTGAAGTGATCCTACTGCCTCAGCCTCGCAGGTAGCTAGGATTACTGCAGGTGCTTGTGCCACCATGCTTGGCCTTTTTTTTTTTTTTTTTTTTTTGTAGAGACAGGGTCTCACTACGTTGCTCAGGCTGGTTGTGAACTCTTCATTTCAAGCAATCCTCCTGCCTCGGCCTCCCAAAGTGCTGAGACTGCAGGTGTGAGCCACCATGCTGGGCCTAGTGGTACCTTAAGTCAGAACAAACTCCATGTGGCTTAAGACTAATCTTTGCTTCTTTCCATGTCATCTAAAAATACCACCATCTCTTCATTTCCACAGACAGATTTCAGGCCTCCATTTCCTGATGCCCATATGGTCAGGAAACTCTTCTCTGTGCTTCCCACTTTGGGCCTGTCCAATACACCCCCACTCTGCCTCAGGGACCATCTGAGACAAAAATCTGACCAAGTTATTCCTTCCTCTCCCCCAAATGTTAATGAACACCGTCTTCTTCCCCAGGCTCGAGCCCTCTGTCTTGCTGGAGGCAAATAGAAACTTTAGGCACCTCAGCCCTGCATCTAGCAGGAGCCTGCACTCAGCGTGTTCACCCCCAGCATCACCTCCCATTCAACTCATCTTCAGGGTTTCTGCCCTGCTATAAATGGCAACTGTATCCAGGCTGTTTCAAAAACAGAAATGCAGAAATAATTCCTGAATTCTTTATCTTCTCAGTGACAGCTTCTTCTCAATCAGAAATTACTGATAGCCTATTTTCTTTCCTTCTTTTTTTTTTTCTGATAGAGTCTCACTCTCTCACCCAAGCTGGAGTACAGTGATGCAACCTCTGCCTCCTGGCTTCAAGCAATTCTCCTGCCTCAGCCTCCCAAGTAGCTGGGATGACAGGCGCGTGCCACCACACCTGGCTTATTTTCATATTTCTAGTAGAGAAGGGTTTCACCATGTTGGCTAGGCTGGTCTTGAACTCCCGGCCTCAGGTGATCCACCCACCTTGGCCTCCCAAAATGCTGGGATTACAGGCTTGAGCCACCACAACCAGCCTGATACCTTATTTTCTAAATAAGTACCATTAACTGACTTTTTATTCATGCTGAAATTAAAATAGTGCAGGCATCAAGGTTACTTCCATGGACAACAGCTGTTGCATTCTAATGGGGACCCTGCTTATCTTGTCCTCGGTATATGCACCAAGCCTGTTTCTGTGGCTTCTAATGGGGACCCTGCTTATCTTGTCCTCGGTATATGCACCAAGCCTGTTTCTGTGGCTTTCCAGCACAGACATTCTTCATTCCATGGCTCTGGGGCAGCTTCAGATCAAGCTGATTTTCTCTGTTTGTCCGGGCTCCAGGCTTCTCCCATTTCCTGAACACACTGGGCACTGTGTGGCCTCGGGGCCTTTGCTGCTTCTGCTCGTTGCTCTGCTCCCATCACCAGTCACCCATCAGGCCCGCTCCTCCTGCAGGCCCCCGTCGCCCTGGGCATGGGGGCCGTCTCCATCCCTGGCACTCCTCACAGGTGCTGCCTCGCCATGCTCTCCTCAACTTGGACACAGTACATTTCAACACAACTCCCTGGTCAAGTCTAGCTCTTCCACTGGCCTATGCGTTCAGTGAAATTGTGGATCTTGTCTACAGGTGAATCCCGTGATAGGACAGCTTCCCAGTCCTGACTCTACAATGGAATCAGCTGGAAGGCTTTCTCAAAGGCCAATTCCAATCATTCAAATTTAGTTATCCTGGGCTGGTCACTGTGGAGAAAAGTCCTCTGGTTATTCTAACGCTAGTCTGGCATGAGCTCTTTGCCTTAAAGGAGTATCACGGGCTTTGCCATGAACTACACTGAGTCCAGGGGCCACCTTGGTCCTGCCCCACCTCACTGGGCCCCTGGGAGGTGGGAGATTAGATTAGATTAGAACTGCCAGGCTTCAGGCTAGCACTCCCGAGAGAGTGTGACCATCCTGAGAGTCCCTTCTCAGAGATTCCAGTGTGACCATCCAGGTTGATCCCGAGCACGAGGAGCTCAGAGGGTCCCAGGTGGGTCTGATGCATAATCCGGGCTGAGAGGCTGAGCTTGGAGAGGCTGAGCCTGGAGAGGCTCGGAAGGCCAGGGACCTTTTTATTTCTGACAACAGACGTAAGTGCCACGGAATCTCTGGGGCCTAGGGCAGGAGATTGGGACCTGATTTAGGAAAGACTTCTTGAGCTTTGAGATTAGACAGGAGAGTATGACTTTAAAAGAAATGGTTTTCACACATTTTCAGGGCTGCTTGTCTTTTCAAGGGTGAGGAAACATGGGTGTTCAGTTTTTTGTTTGTTTGTTTTTGAGACGGAGTCTCGCTCTGTCGCCCAGGCTGGAGTGCAGTGGCGCGATCTCGGCTCACTGCAAGCTCTGCCTCCCAGGTTCACGCCATTCTCCTGCCTCAGCCTCCCAAGTAGCTGGGACTACAGGCGCCCGCCACCACGCCCGGCTAATTTTTTTTGTATTTTTTTAGTAGAGACGGGGTTTCACTGTGTTAGCCAGGATGGTCTCCAACTCTTGACCTCGTGATCTGCCCTCCTCGGCCTCCCAAAGTGCTGGGATTACATGCGTGAGCCACGATGCCCAGCTGGGTGTTCAGTTTTAAATATTTGGGAAAATCATCTAATCTAGGGGATACTGTTTCAGTGTTTCAGTGTAAAAAATTAATATATGATTAATTTTGGCTGGATTTTTGGAAACTAGTAGGGCAACAAGGTCGAATACTGGGGGAAAGTGACTGAAAGTAATGAGGTGTGCCCTATGTGAAGGAAGGTCCGCACAGGTCACACACTGGACAGGTTTCCCTGGATTAATTTAAAATATATATATTTTTAATTAGTCAGGTATGGTGGTGCATGCAGGTAATCCCGGCTACGTGGGAGGCTGAGGTAGGAGAATCTCTTGAACCTGGGAGGCGGAGGTTGCAGTGAGACAAGATTGCGCCACTGCACTCCAGCCTGGGTGACAAGAGTGAAACTCCATCTCAAAAATATATATATATTTAAATATATAAATATATCTATATATTATATATTTATAAATATATATTTATTATTTTAAAAATATATATTTTTTGAGATGGAGTTTTGCTCTTTTTGTCCAGGCTGGAGTTCAATGGTGTGTTCTTGGCCTACTGGAACCTCTGCCTCCCGGGTTCAACCTCAGCCTCCCGAGTAGCTGGGATTACAAACATGCACCACCATGCCCGGCTAATTTTGTATTTTTAGTAGAAACGGGGTTTCTCCATGTTGGTCAGGCTGGTCTCAAACTTCCGACCTCAGGTGATCCACCCGCCTCGGCCTCCCAAAGTCCTGGGATTACAGGCGTGAGCCACCGCGCCCGGCCGAATATTTTTTAAAATAATAAAAATTGCAAAGAACTTCCCTGGATTAACTAAAAAAAAAAAAAATAAAAAAAGAAATGGGACAGGGTGAGCCAGTGGTAGTTTCTGATGTACCAAGGAAGTATTTTATTTGCAAATCGAAATGGAGTCTTTTCAGGTTCCCTAGTGACAAAGGGAAATCGATCTAAGAGCAATGAAGTATTATGCAACAAGGGAGTTTGAAAGAAATGCTGGCAGAGAATACGTGGCAATTTTTCTTTCTTTTTTTTTCTTTTTTTTTTTTTTTTTGACATGGAGTCTCTCTCTGTCGCCCAGGCTGGAGTGCAGTGGCACTGTCTTGGCTCACTGCAACCTCCGCCTCCTGGGTTCAGGCGATTCTTCGGCCTCAGCCTCCCAAATAACTGGGACTACAGGCACCCGCCACCACGCCCAGCTAATTTTTGTATTTTTAGTAGAGACGGGCTTTCACCATATTGGCCAGGCTGGTCTCGACCTCCTGACCTCATGATCCGCCTGCCTCGCCCTCCCAAAGGGCTGGGAATACAGGTGTGAGCCACCGCACCCAGCCAATTTTTCTTTTTTTTCAAGACAGAGTCTCTCTCTGTTGCTCAGACTGGAGTGCAGTGGTACCATCTCAGCTCACTGCAACCTCTGCCTCTTGGGTTCAAGCAATTCTTCTGCCTCAGCCTCCCGAGTAGCTGGGATTACAGGTGCTTGCGACCACGCCCGGCTAATTTTTGTATTTTTTAGTAGAGATGGGGTTTCACCATGTTGGCCAGGCTGGTCTCGAACTCCTGACCTCGTGATCTGTCCGCCTCGGCCTCCCAAAGTGCTGGGATTACAGATGTGAGCCACTGTGCCTGGCCCATGTCAATTTTCCCCTAAATGGTGTGAAGAGGATCTGAAGTAGTAGGTGAGAGACAGGCCAGAGAAGAGAGCAGTCACGGAGACAAACACACAGGGCGATTCCACTGTGCAGACAGAGCCCAGCCTTTCCCATGCCAAAGACACACGAGAGAGCACCCGAGAGAACAGATTCCATGAAGACATCATGTTCCTCTCTGGCTCTCAGCCTTGAGGGAGAGGCCATGTGCACTCAGAACAGGAGAGGCCAGGCCAGGTCCTCAGGGCTGCTGCTTTGTCCACCTGTTGCTGAGGAGCAGCAGGAGTGAGGCGTGGGCACGCTCCCATGGCAAGCCCTGTGCACAGGTGTGCGGAGGGCGCCCACGGGCAGGGTCCCGTGTCAGGGTGCTTGGGCTTGGCCTGCTCCACAGTGTGATGCGCTTGGCTTGCATGAGTCACTCCCTTCATAAGTGTGAGCTGGAACACAGGAGAGAAAATCCTGAGGAGACTTGGTCCTCCATTCTAGCCCAGGATTCTTTCTAGGGCCCCTCTCTAGGGCAAAGCCTGCGACTTTCAAGCCTAATGGTCCAGTATATGCCTATAAAGGGAGTGAATTTCATCATGGCTTGGAGCTGCTTCTATTTTCAACATTATGAGAGAAGAGAGGTTGATTAATGGGTACAAATATACAGTTCGATAAAGAAATAAGACCTAGTGTTTGATAGATCAGTAGGGTGACTACAGTTTACAATAATCTATTGTATATTTCAAAATAGCTATGAGAGAGTAATTTGACAGTCTTGACCATAAAGAAAAGACAAATATTTGGCTGGGTGCAGTGGCTCACACCTGTAATTCCAGCACTTTGGGAGGCTGAGGCAGGTGGATCATGAGGTCAGGAGATCGAGACCATTCTGGCCAACATGGTGAAACCCCGTCTCTACTAAAAATACAAAAATTAGCTGGGCATGGTGGCGCGTGCCCATAGTCCCAGCTACTCAGGAGGCTGAGGCAGGAGAATTGCTTGAACCCAGGAGGCAGACGTTGCAGTGAGCCGAGATCACGCCACTGCACTCCAGCCTGGGGGACAGAGCAAGACTCCGTCTCAAAAAAAAAAAAAAAAAGAAATGACAAATATTTAAGGTGATTGATATCCCAATTATACTGATCTAATTTTTACCAAATATATGAATGTAGTAAATTATCACTTATATACCCCAAAAAATTTTTAAAAGAAAATCACCAGTTATTTCAATACCAATCCCAAATAATTCACACAGCCACAGTTTTGCAATTCAAGGGGATCTGGAAGGAATGAAGTCATTGGACAAAAGTAATTGAGAATTAAGTGTGTCACATCTGAATGCTTGCGTACCCCCAAAATTCATGTGTTGAAACCCCATGGCCTAATGTGATGGTGTGAGGGGATGAGGCCCCCGGGAGATGATTAAGACTAGCTGAGTCATGAGGGTGGAGCCCTCCTGCATAGGATTAGGATCCTTACAGGAGTCCAAAGAGAGCTTGATTCCCCCTTCACCACCTGAAGAAGGAGCTAGAAGGCACCTTCTATAAGCCAGAAAGTGGGCCCTCACCAGACACCAAATCTACCACAGCCTCCTCTTGGACTTCCCAACCTCCGCAATGTGAGAAATACATTTCTGTTTTTATAACATAGCCAGTTTGTGGAATTACACTGTAGTAGCCCAAATGGACTAAAACAAATGGGTATGTAGTGATATCAGGGTTCCTGGGCAGAAATAGTTGTCAACAGAAGAGATTTGGGGAGCAAGTCAGAAATTGCGGATGTCTACAGGAATGTCAGAAGTGTCCCCTGAGCTACGGATGAGAACCGGAAGAGTTGCTTTTGCAGATAAGGAGTCACTGTTTTAGTGACAAAAGAATATAGTATTTTAGGGATAGCAATAAAGTGTCAGGAAACAGAAGTTGAGAGCAGAGAGAGAACTTCCACACTCTTAACCCAGCCGTGGAAGGAGAGGCAGGCACAGGGGATGAGACTGGAGAGTGGAGACAGAGGGGCCACAGGCACTTTTCCAGGCAGTGACCATCGCTGTGCCGGACGGGAGCACAAGGCCTGGGGGCAGAAGCCAGCCCCAATGTCAAGGAAGAGGCCATGACTTGCAGTGGGTGCTGGGTATCAAGACCTTGGTTTTCTTCTTTTCTTTTTTTTTTTTTGAGACGGAATCTTGCTCTGTCACCCAGGCTGGAGTGCAGTGGCACAATCTTGGCTCACTACAGCCTCTGCCTCCCAAGTTCAAGCAATTCTCCTTCCTCAGCATCCCCAGTAGCTGGATTACAGGCATGCGCAAGCAATCCTGGCTACTTTCTGTATTTTTAGTAGAGATGGGGTTTTGCCATGTTGGCCAGGATGGTCTCGATCTCCTGACCTCGTGATCTGCCCGCCTCGGTCTCCCAAAGTGATGGGATTACAGGCATGAGCCACCACGCCCGGCCTAAGACCTTGCTTCTCAATGAGAGTCTGAGACTGAGTCTCAGCACTTTCACTTGCTCTGTGAGCTCAGGCACATCCTCTGCTCTCTCTGGGTCCCCGTGTCTTCCCCTGCAAAAAAGGAGAACTTATATCTCACCCTCCAAGATGTACTCCCTGATGATTAGCTTAAGGATTTGGGACTTTGATGGCATCAGCCAAATCCCTTCAGGGCAGCGCCTAATCCAGGGTTTGATTGGATACCTGGGTGAGGGTGTGACTGCCTTCAACTTGCACAAGGATTTGGAAGGATTCTGGGCCCCGTATCCCCAACTGCAAAATAGGAGGTTGTCTTGGCTGGGCATGGTGGCTCACGTCTGTAATCCCCACCACTTTGGGAGGCCGAGGCGGGAGGATCACGAGGTCAGGAGATCCAGACCATCCTGGCTAACACAGTGAAACCCCATCTCTACTAAAAATACAAAAACTTAGCTGGGCGTGGTGGTGGGCGCCTGTAGTCCCAGCTACTCAGGAGGCTGAGGCAGGGGAAAGGCGTGAACCCGGGAGGCAGAGCTTGCAGTGAGCCGAGATCACACCACTGCACTCCAGCCTGAGTGACAGAGTGAGACTCTGTCTCAAAACAAAACAAAAAAAGAGGTTGTCTTATTTTGCACGAATGAACATCCATTATTTCTGAATTCTTTTCGACCTCACTGAGTTTCCAGTGAAAGAGGAAGTGCTGAAATCCCAACCTTGGTGTAACTGTAGAGTTAGCTGCATTTTGTGAAATGCTTTTTCCGCCTGAAGATAAACACATTCCCCCCTACCCATTCTATTAAATGTGGTGTGGTTGATTTTCATATGTTGAACCAACATTGGACTTCTGGGATAAATCCCAGAAGTTCATGATGTGTAATCATTTTCATTAGCTCCTTTATTTATATTAATTTTGGTAGAAATTGCCTAGCCATAGGTGCCAGGGGCTTCAAATTCCTCTAGTATCCTTGCTTTCATCTCCACTTGTAACTGAATTTCCCCAAATGGTCCTCCTCGGGGACAGTCTGTGGCTCTGTCTGCTATAACCCAGCGCTGTTGCACTGCGGCTCTGCTGGGATGGTGGCAGAGGGGGTGCATTCTATAATCTTCCAGTTAAATCTGTCAGTACTCGTGTGTCCAAGGGCTGGGACCTACTCAAGTGTTCTCCAGTGGTATAACTTTGCCTCCTTGCCCTGCCCTCCCTCTCCTGCTTGCAGGATTCCAATCTACTGGAATCCTCAAAGTGTTGAGCCATGTTGACAGTTTCCTCTCCCTTAGGTGAGACAGGAAGGATAGAGAGAATGGGGAATGTCCTTCCTCCAGCTAGCATAAGACTCTGGCAAGCTTTTTTTCCCTAGAGTGTCGGCTTTTATGGAGAAGACTCTGGGTGTATTTCACAATGATTCCCCTTCTTCTGCCACAGCCCTCAGGGGATATTTCTCAGATCATGACCTTGGGAATCTGCTGGGATTCCTGGAGCTAATGGCAGTGGCGGTATGCGGGACCCGTTATGACTATGGACCCAGAAGTTCCACATTCTCAGTTTAGTCCATATTCAACCTCCAGCAATTCATCAAAATTACCTGTTAGTTTTCCGACCAGTTTTGGCTCCAGTGGGCTCCAAGTAAACAGATCTCAGCTGTGTCTCTGGATACACCCGTCTCTCCAGATTTCACAGTTGTGACTTCAGTTCTCAGAAAGATAAAAGTCACTGCTTTTCAGCTTGACTAGCTTTTTCTTATAAGGATAGGGGTGACTACTTCCAAGCCGTTTGCATGTTGTAGTTGAAACTGGGGGTTCCAACAAATTTCTGAGTGCTAGAGAATGAAAGAGAGAATTGAAGAATGAAGAATAGAAGAATATCGAATGACAACAGAATCACAAAAGTCCTTTAACTGCTCAGTTTAAACAGTTTAAATGCCGAGGAAGGGAACAATTTCATGATGACTTCAGTGTCAATAGGATGGCTATCAGAGGTTGTCTGTGTAGCATCATGCAGAAACGCAGAATATGGATAGGACACCTTCTACAGCCTACTTCAGGCTTTGCTTTAATTTTGAATAACAATTGTTTGCACTTCTGGCGGGGCGCGGTGGCTCACTCCTGTAATCCCAGCACTTTGGGAGGCTGAGGCGGGTGGATCATGAGGTCAGGAGTTCGAGACCAGTCTGGCCAACATGGTGAAACCCCATCTCCACTAAAAATACAAAAAAAAAAAAAAAAAAAAAAAAAAAATTAGCCGGGCATGGTGGCAGGTGCCTGTAATCCCAGCTACTTGGGTGGCTGAGGCATGAAAATCGCTTGAACCCGGGAGGCGGAGGTTGCAGTGAGCCGAGATCTTACCATTACACTCCAGGCCAGGCGACAATGCGAGACCCCGTCTCAAAAAAAAAAAAAAAAATTGTTTGCACTTCTACACATCTACATAAATTTGTATTTGTATTATATCAACCAAAGGAATACAATTTGACTTATTAACTCAATTTAGTTTCTGCAAAAAGCTTCAATTTCCCAGGTCTCATCTAGAAGGGATAAGATAGCTTTATAAGCACAGGTTTTCAAAAGAAAAACATTGCAGAGGCAAAAAAAAAAAAAAAAAAAAAAAAAAAAAAATTCTCATTGTGATTATTTGCATCTGGGGTTATACTGTAAAAAGAGACATTTTAGATCTTTTATATAGTCTCTAATAGTAAACAGAAAGATTACATTTTTATTACTGCAGATTTTATCCTGGCACTTGAAAATTCGTTTGCAATTTTGGAAGCAGGAAATACTTTTGGTGTGTTTCCATTGGTCATTTGAGCTGAAAAGATTGAGTGTGGAAAGTCATTACAATTTCTGCTATGGTTGTTTTATTTTTATCTGAATTTCCTTTCATCGGAAAATTTGTTACTTTATCCGTTTCTTTAGCACTATTTGAGGAAATCATCTATCACTTAGGCTTAGCTGTTAGTATATCCTGCCTTATATCTGACTTTCCAATATGTTCAATACTGAATGAACAATTGTGTACTGTAGAAAGAGCTTCAAAACATCTTTTCTCTGATACCAAATATTTTAAAAATTAATCATGAAACTTATACTTGCATTTTGATTCAAATATACATAAATGAAAATAGGCAATAGGGTAGATCTCATATTAAGTATCCTTAACACAAAATATAAAATAAAAAATAAGTTAATAACAATAATTGAAAATACTAATTTCGATCATCTCACTCACAAGAGTGAAGCATAATTACCAATAAATTGAGGCTGAGCTATTGAAAGGTTGGAAGCTTACAAACTAACAATAAACTTGAACTTGATATGTGACACAGAAAAGTCGAACTTGATGCATGCCTGCAAGGGAGAACTGTGTTTGCAGTAACAGGATCCCTGAAGAAAGCCAGAGCTGATCTTATCCAAAATTTTAAGCAGCTCAGTGTCTGGGACTGGCGAATTTTCAGAGGCAGGGATGTTTATGGACTGTTAGATTTTCAAGCGTGTTAGTGTGGTCACTGGAATTAGACGGTTGTCGACTGGCTAACTTCCAGAAGCACGGTCACTGGAAGGAGGGACTTGCTGACCAACCGTGGTCTAGAAGCAGCACTCAAGTGGCATTCAGAAGCTGGAGGCTGTCAGGAAGTTGATTTCAGAAGCATGGCTGCTGGCAGCGAGGCCATCATTGATTTTTCAGACCACGTGTACTGATCCAAAGATCTAATTATTGGGGATTATTTTACAACTTAGGAATTTGGCCAAAAGAACAGTCTTTTCCTTTCTTTAATACGGAAAACAAGTACTTTTATTCTCACTTCCCCCTTTTGCCTTCCCTCAGTCAAACACATAGGATAAAACATAAGAGATGGTTCAGATCTTTATTTGTGGAGGTATGATTTCCAACTTGTATTGCCACTTAAGCGATTTAAGCGCCAATTACTGAAGCAGAACCGTAGCTCAAAGTGCTGATTTTTCATTAATGAGGGGAGAAACCCTGAATACATTTAAGGCATCCTAACAAAGTTAATACAGGATTCAGGACAAAATCATTAAATACAGGACGTTTGGCAACCCTACCTGTGAGTCAGCTTTCTCCTCACTTGCCACTCTCACCTATTTGCCTATGAAAACCATGCCTTATTTATTCTAATACATGATTATCTGTCTCCTGTTCTCCATCAATGCTGTCCCTGTTTGAGTTGGAACCCTCATTTACCTATTACTTGAATTTAAACAGCCCAGATTTCCTGGGTGGCATCAGTCATCAGCTTTCTTCAACCCCATACGCTTATCTTCTATGGAATTTCCCTTGCTTACCATCTTTGACTCCACCGATTTTACCATAAAATCCAAACTCCTTAGCTTGGCAAATAAGGCCTTTTGTGATTTGGCTTCTGCCTTCTACTCGAGCTTTAACATTTGTCATTTTCCTGCTCACTAGTTCTAAATTAAGTTTTCCAAATGTCCTATTATCCACCTGTGGTTTGGCGCATGCTGTTTCCTCTTAATCGGAATGCTTCTGTCTCCCTCGGAGTTCCTACTATTCTCCCCAAATATAGCCCAGGCATCATTGCCCCTGGAAAGCTTTGATGTCTCCAGGCTTTCTTCATGAGTCTCTTTCTTCATCCTGTGCAAATCTTTACAATATTTTCATAGTGGAACATATTGTCATAACTTATTTGCCTACTGAAACAACAAAAACTGCAATATAATCTGCTTGCTCATTTGCTAGCCCAACTCCATCCCCTTCCCAATTCATGGCTTCTTGAAGAAAAGCCTGTGTCTGTCTTAAAACTTGTACAGTTTTAAAACTTGTAAACTTGTATAGTACCTGCTCCAAAGTTAAAAAATATTTACTGTTGAGAAAAACTTAGGACTGTAATGTCCCCCCTCAAACTGGGAAGGAGCCGAGAGACCAAAGAATGACTCAGACAAGTCCAGCTTGATGAGCAGATGAGTTTATTATGACTTCCATACAGGGCTCTCCTGGACTGCAGCAGGACAGCTCTGGAGATCTGCACCACCTCGCACCTCTAAGCTGCTTTTAAGCCAGTTTTCTGGCTCTTTGCCTCGTGTGTGATTGGACTGTTTGCTTAGTGTGTTCCCAGATACTCTGGGATGTTTGGGTTCTCAGGGACACTTGCTCCTCAGCTGGGCACCATGGCCTCTGCTTACTGTCCAGACTTCAGGGCTCAAGTAGTGGATATAAACCCTTAGGTAACCTGGTAGGGGATCTGTCACACTACACTAAGTTTATGAAACAATTCACATGTCTTGTTTGGGCTGCTGTAACAAAATAACCTCATCATACTAGGTAACTAATAAAATATTTCTCACAGTTCTGGAGGCTGGGAAACCCATTTAAAGTGCTAGCAGGTTTGGTGTCTGGTTATGGCCATCTTGATTCAAAGAAGGTATCTTACCACTGTGCCTTCACATGGCTGAAGGGCAGAACAAGCTCCCTTGGGGCTCTCTGATAAGGGCACTGAGGGCTCCGCCCTTCTGATCTGATCACCTCTTCACACATCCCACTTCATGATACCATCACCTTGGAGGTTAGCATTTGAACACAGGGATTTGGGGGAGACATAAACATTGAGACCATAGCAATGTCCTTTTCAAGAGTTTGCCACAGGTGTTAGATTTGCGAAAGTTCTTCTGATGTGTTCGTTATAAATTTAAAAAATACATATTTAGGGTGGCCGGGCACGGTGGCTCACACCTGTAATCCCAGCACTTTGGGAGGCCGTGGCAGGCAGATCACCTGAGGTCAGGAGTTCAAGACCAGCCTGGCCAACATGGAGAAACCCTGTCTCTACTAAAAATACAAAATAGCCGGGTGTGGTGGCAGGTGCCTGTAATCCCAGCTACTCGAGAGGCTGAGGCAGGAGAATTGCTTGAACCTGGGAGGCGGAGGTTGCAGTGAGCCGAGATCGCACCATTGCACTCCAGCCTGGGTGACAGAGACTCCATCTCAAAATAAAAATAATAATAATAAATACATACATACATATTTAGTAGCTTTAAACCTGAAATTATTGCCTGTTTTTCTATCTAATACAGTTCAGGGCATATAACTGGTACACCTAATAAATGACTTCAGAGAAATAAAATCCAAAACCAAGTTAAGACAGTTGAGTAGAAAATTCACAACTACTAGAACAAAAGACCAGATTTTTCTTTTTCTTTTTTAATGAAATCCATGCATAAGTTTGACATCAGGGTAGGAAAAGGACAAACCCCAGAGACTGAGAGGTAGTTCATAATTCATTTTTCTTTTATTTTGGTCCTTTTCTCTAAAAAGGTACAATTTGATCAAGCTATTAAAATGCTATAAAAATATTACCAGTTTGGTGGTCTTCTAATGAGAAATCTAAAGCACACCTCCCCACCCACTCGGATATCTGTTTCTGATGATCACGTGACATCTAGCATATACGTCTGTAGGAAAAGGGAAAAAGCAAACCCATTTCACAAATGGCTAAAGTCAATGTCTTCAATTGTAAATTCTTCATCTCAGGTTATTTTTTTAAGTGTCTGACAGGCACAAACACTTTCCTCATATCTATTATATAGCTGAGGTTTATCCATGGAATTAAATACCTAATGAGGGCTAAATTATTACAGTTTTTTTCACATCCATTACATTTATTACATCTCTCTCAAGGATGTATTCTTCGATGAGCTTTGGTTTAAGGCTTTCACACATACAAATCTACTTTCTAGGGGTCCTCTTCGATATGAATTTTATAATGATTAGTAAGGGATGACCTATGGTTGAAAAGTTTCCCACATGTATTACATTCATAGGGTTTCTCTCCAGTATGAATTCTCTGATGTGCAATACGTGATGAGCTTTGTCTAAAAGTTTTTCCACATGTATTACATTTAAAGGGTTTTTCTCCTGTATGAATCCTTCGATGCTGAATAAGAGCTGAACTTTGGCCAAAAGATATCCCACATTCCTCACATCGATATGGTTTCTCTCCAGTATGAATTCTCTGGTGATTACTAAGTGATGAGTTACACCTGAATGTTTTCCCACACTCGTTACATTTATAGGGTCTTTCTCCAGTATGCATTCTCTGATGTTGAATGAGAGCTGAACTCTGTCTGAAGGCTTTTCCACATACTTTACATTTACATGGTTTTTCTCCAGTATGAATTCGCTCGTGAATAATAAGTGTTGAGTGGGAGCTTAAGGCTTTACCACATTCATTACAATTATAAAACTTCTCTCCAGTATGAATGATTCGGTGTCTATTAAGTCGTGAAATAGAAGTAAAGCCTTTCCCACATTCATTGCATCTATAGGGCTTTTCTCCGGTGTGAATTCTTTCATGTTGAATAAGAGAGGCACTCTGGCTGAAGGCTCTCCCACATTCACTACATTTAAAAGGCTTCTCTCCAGTGTGAATTCTCTGATGATAACGAAGGGATGAGCTAGACTTAAAGGTGTTGCCACATTCATTACATAAGTAGGACTTCTTTCTAGAATGAATTCTTTGACATCCAGAAAGGGATGTGCTGCAACTAGATGCCTTCCTACCCGGATTATACTTACAAGGGTTTTCTTCAGCATGAATTTTTTGATGTATAAAAAGGCCTGACCTTCGGCTGAAGGATTTACCACATTCTTTACATCTGTAGGATTTCTCCACAGTATGGGTTCTTAGATGTTTATAAAGGGATGTACTGAGAGTAAAGGCTTTCCCACATTCTTTACATATGTAGGGTTTCTCTCCAGTATGCGTTATTTGATGTTGAATAAGAGCTGAACTTTGGCTAAAGGCTTTTGAACATTCTTTACACTTAAATAGTTTCTCTCCACTATGGTTTTTCTCATGTTTACGAAGGGATGAAGTGTTAATGAAGGTTTTTTCACACAGACTACATTTATAGCGTTTATCTGCTGTAATTTTTGGTTGATTAAGTAATTGTGAATTCTGTTTGAGGCTGTTTCCTTGTATTTCACATTTTGGTGGTGTTTTTTCTCTGGGAAGTATCTGTTGCCTAATAAGCACTGACTTTGGGCTGAAGTTTTGGCTCAATTCAGTATTTTTATGGCTTCTTTCTATAGTGGGGATTTTTTTGTGGGTGGCTGAAACTATCTGAAAACTTCCCTTTTTATCCTGCTTTTTCTCTAATCTGCCTTCATATATGTAAGGCTTTTCTAATTTCAAATCCCAAGGTACATTCCTGTTGGATCTTTTCAGTATCAGTCCCTGAAATGAAGAGTCTTGTGTTTGCGTTGACTTTGTGGTTTTATGACTGCTCTTCGATCCTGGAGGGAAAAAAAAAATCAAAAATGTTTCATGTGATATCATAGCATCTGACTACTGAGACTAAAAGTGTAGAAGGAATAAATATTGGTGACATTTAAATAAGACCCTGATATCTGTATGAAAAAAATTGCAAAAAGAAAAAATAGGACAGTTAGACAGTATAATAAAATATAATTGACAGCAATTTAAGTACTAGGGTGAAGAATAAAATAAAGCAAACCCATTTAAAGAGGGTGAGAAAGAGTGACCAGAAGAATTGGCTAATGAAGAACAGAGAAAAGGGTTATAAAGGGATCATGAGTTGAAAGAGGAAGTTTGGGGTTAGGACCCAAAACCCATGATGGAATCCTAATTTTTTTTTGTTTTTTTTTTTTGACATTTATCTTCTTTGTGTAATTTTTTTTGAGACAGTCTCACTCTGTCGCCCAGGCTCGAGTGCAGTGGCGCGATCTCGGCTCACTGCAACCGGTCTCCTGGCTTCAAGCAATTCTTGTGCCTCAGCCTCCTGAGTAGCTGGGATTACAGGCACCCACCATCATGCCTGGCTAATTTTTGTATTTTTAGTAGAGACAGGGTTTCACCGTGTTGGCCAGGCTGGCCTTGAACTCCTGACCTCAAGTGATCTACCCACCTCGGCCTCCCAAAGTGCTTGGATTACAGGCATGAGCCACTGTGCTCAGCCTTTATATAATTATTCTTAATCTGGAAAGTCCCTCCACCCCATGTCAAATTCCCTTATATCCTTCAGATTCAGTTCAAAAATGGACTCTCTCAATCCTTTGACTCTGAGCAGCCACGGTCCCTTCTCCTTACTATAGCACTTACCAGAGTATTAAACATATGTATTACTGACCTTTATAATATATGCACACATATATAGTATATTATAGTTCTATATCTATGTCTGTATGTATCTCACTTTCCTTTTCTGAAGTAACTGTTCTTCACAAGCAGATCAGAATGCCCTATTTTCCTACAGATCCTCTTGACAGCACTCCAATTATATACAAAAGTTGTATGTTTTGTTAATCTGCCTTAATTACTTATACATTCCTAACTGGAACAATGTCAAATATTCTTACGTATTTCATATATATACAAATATGCACATGTGTTATACATACATACACATACATACTTCATATATATACAAATATGCACATGTGTTATACATACATACACATACACATTTCAGACCCTTGTAGAAGTTGCCTCCTAGGCCAGTACATGGGTGATTAGAGAGGTTTCAGGGCCAGTTCAAACAGGAGGGCCCTGTTATTGAATTAATCGACAAGAGGTGCCACAAGACAGGCCTAGAGCCAAGAGGTGCAAGATAGGAAGGCAGCCTACTCATGCATCAAGCAAGAGAGGTTACATGGGATGGCTGAAAAGAGTCAAAGATCAACAATAAGACAGGCATGGATATATAAGATAAAGCATGGTTAACATGGAAAAGTAAAGAACAGAAGTGAAGAAATATTAAAATTGGATAAGAACACAATTCAATAGATAGTAAATTCTCTCAGGGGAACGGTTATGCACATAGTCTTAGCATCTTCTCTTGGGGTAGAGGTAACTGTTTAAAGGGACCATTTGTGTCTCACTGTATTTGCGATTCCTGTATGACAGTCACTTTCACACATCTACAAATTACTTCTGCTTAACAAACACAATACATCTTGCTTTTCCCTTATTAGTGTTCACTTACTAGTTCCCTTCATGGATAACTCTTCTTCCATTCCTTCTTTAAATAATGGTATTCCCTAGGGTTTTGGATTTTTTTTTCACTCCACACACCCTCCCTGACTAACTTCACATGCCTTATATCTTTATACTATTTACTGTAAGGGAAAGCAGAGTTTCTTAACTTTATGCTTAACACCTTCCTAGTTCCTTCTCCGTTTCAGTCTTGCTAAATTAAGTGATCAAATTTTAATACATTATTTAGGCCAAATATATGGAGGGGGCAGTGGCAAAAATGAAGTGCTTTTTCCCTGTGAATATCGGTCGTTGTTTCTAGGCTTAATATATGTGCTGGGAAGAAGGCAGCAGCAAGATTCTGCAACTTGGATTCTAGCTTGTAAGGCAATGATACAGAACCTGCCTTAGGCCTAGTGTAAAGAAAGGTCCCTCACCTTTGCTACAGCCCTGAGCACGGGGATCAGGTACTTAAGTGGTATTTTGTTTGCCATGCATTACTATCTCTACCATAATCTCCTAACTAGTCTTGCCCTCTGCCAATTCAGTCTCCACACTGCAGCCAGAATAATCTCTGTGGTTTTTTTTTTTTTTGAGATGGAGTCTCACTGTGTCACCCAGGCTGGAGTGCAGTGGCGCGACCTCGGCTCACTGCAACCTCCCCCTCCCAGGTTCAAGTGATTCTCCTGCCTCAGCCTCCTAAGTAGCTGGGATTACAGGTGTGCGCCACCACACCTGGCTAATTTTTGTATTTTTAGTAGAGACAGGGTTTCACCATGTTGGTCAGGCTGGTCTCGAACTCCTGATCTCATGTTCCGCCCACCTCAGCCTCCCCAAAGCGCTGGGATTACAGGTGTGAGCCATCATGCCCGGCCAATCTTTCTAAGATCAATATTTTACTATGTGGCAAACTTCCTTAAGGTCCTCCAATAGATTTTCAATGATTCACATCTGAAGTCTCTTAAGAGTCTTGAAGACTCTTAGGCGTCCTTAACATGGTGAATAGAGTACTATCTGATCTGACCTTTATCCACCTGTCCTCACCCCCTCTTCCCTGGCTTCTTGCCAGGTATGCTGAACTACATGCAGCTTCAGGAGCACTCCATGACTTGACTTGTTTATCTTTACATATGCTGGCAGCATCCTTTCCATTCACAAGTACTCATTAAGTGCCTACTATGGGCCAGGTAATGTTCTGGGGAATGCAGATAATGTATTCAATAAGACAGGGTTCCAGCCTTTAAGGAGCTTATACTTTGGAGTGTGCGCATGTGCTGGGGAAGGAGGGGGATGAAGGGACAAATAACAAGTACGTAATAAAAGTCATGTGGATAGCTGAAGAAAGTGCTCAAGAGCTCCCTGGGCAAAGGAACCAACACACACAAAAGTGAGGCTGACTTAGGAACAGCAGAGAGACTGGCCAGAGTAGAGCGAGAAGAGGGAAAATGGTGAAATGATAAAATAAGCCTGGAACGGGGCCGGGCGTGGTGGCTCACAGCTGCAATCCTAGCACTTTGGGAGGCCGAGGTGGGTGCATCACCTGAGATCAGGAATTCAAGGCCAGCCTGGCCAACACGGTGAAATCTGTTATCTACTAAAAATACAAAAATCAGCCGGGTGTGGTGGCACACGCCCATAATCCCAGGTACTCGGGAGGCTGAGGCAGAGAATTGCTTGAACCCAGGAGGCAGAGGCTGCAGTGAGCCCAGATCACATGACTGCACACCAGCCTGGGCGACAGAGTGAGACTCCATCTCAAAAAAAAAAAAAAAAAAAGTAAACAAAAAATAAAAAACAAAAGAGTGGAGCAGGAGGTGGGGGACAAATCCTCTAAGGCCCAGGTCATCCTAAGGACTGGAATTTAAGCCTACGGGAAGCCACTGGGGAATTATGTGTTCATTTGAGTTGGCTGCTGCGTGGACCGACTACGCTGGGGCACCAGTGGAAGCAGGGAGGGGAGAGGCTACTGAAGAAGCTACTGCAGCTCTTCACGTGAGAAAGGGCTGGAGGTACAGATGACTATGCCAGGCTGTACAGTGAAGGAAGAGCTAGCGGGACCAAGAATAACAAGACTCAGGACTCCCAGGAAGCTGAGAGGGAAACAGGAAAGTTAGGGATCATGCCTAGGTTTCTAGCCAGAATTCTGAGAGCTGCCACCAACCACCAAGAAGGGAAAGACCAGGAAAGGGGCAAGGCTAGAAGGGGAAGACCAGGAAAGGGGCAAGGCTGAGGGGGCATTCTGTTTCTGGTATGTTTGTGATGGCTGAGATGCCTTAATAGAGTTGCAGGAAGATACTGAAATACTAGATTGTATTTATTATTCTGGAGATCTGGGGGAGGTCAGAGCTATAGACAGGCATTTGGGGGTCAGCAGCATGTGGGTTTGATTTAAAGCTGAAGAACTGAAAGGAATCACTTAGACACTGAAATATTACGAGGTTAAGAAGAATAATATCAGGAGAGTACAGTGTTCCAGAAGCCAAGGGAAGAAGTACTTCAGGGAGGAGTGAATAACTGTGGCAAATAATTTGAGGACTAAAAACTTAATCCTGATTGTGGCAAGACGGAGGTTGTTTGGGATTTAATAACAGAGCTATCAGTGGAATTATAAGGAAGAAAGCCCAGCTGGAGTGCATGGAGGAAACAATGGGAGGTGAGAAAATAGAAACATCAAGAGCAGAAACCCTTTTCAACAGTTTCTAAAGGAGAGTAAGCAAATGTGACATGGGGAGCTTTTATTTTTTAATGGATATGATTACGACTCGGAAGTCCATTATCAATTCTGGAAAACTCATCCCAACTCTAAAGTGCCAATATTTTAGTCCTGAAATCATGTTTTTCACAGAAGCAGACGTAAGTTTTGGATTGTGGATATCCTGACTCTTCCTTATGATCTGTTTAGAACTTTCTAGAGGCCTACAAATAGGTCTCCTGAGGTGCAGTTCAACCTTTGCTTCCTCCTAGAATCAAGCCCAGTCCTCAGCTACCTGTTAAACAAGGTGAAGACCTAGGTCAGAAGTTGAGAAGCCAGAATCATCTTGCTGATGGCCACTGCCCTGACCACTTCCTGTTATCAGGTCTAGACTCTTCCACCTGGACTCTCACTACACCCAGAGAGTGTTTCTTCAACCCTATCTCCCTGGATGATTTCATTTACTCCCACACCTCTTATGTGTACGACTATCCTGAAAAATACTTTACAGAGGTCTTTCCAACTGCCGGTTAGAATTTCCACTTGTGTATCTTTCTTTTTAAATTCAGCCTGTCCAAATCTGAACCCAGAGCATTCCTTTTCAAACCTTTTTTATATGTTTTCCAGTTCAAAATGACACCATCATCTCTTCAGTTAATTTACCGTAAATTCTTAGTTTTATCTTAGAATTTCTCTTCCCTAGGCAGTCATCAAAATCTTCATTTTTTTGTTTTTTGAGAGACAGGGTCTTGCTCTGTTGCCCAGGCTGAAATGCACTGGTGCCATCATAGCTCACTGCAGCCTCAAACTCCAGGGCTCAAGCGATTCTCCCACCTCAGCCTCCTGAGCAGCAGGAACTACGGGTGCACACTGCCAAGCTTGGCTAATATTTTTATCTTGCGTAGTGACAGGGTTTCATTGTGTTGCCCAGGCTGCACATTCTCTTAAATCTCATCACTAAAATGTCTCTAATAAGCCATCGTGAATATGTCTAAGTTCAGGATCTCCTCACTGTAGAGTGACTTGCTCCTGATCTTAAGTTATTCCTTTGACCTGTTTCTTGCCTTTCCAGTATTATTTCCCACTGGATTTACCCCTCTTAATACACAGAATTGGTCATGTTATTTCAAAAAGCATTGGTCACGCCTTACTTTATTAATTTATCAAATATTTAAAAAGTACCTACTATGTATTAGGCTCTATCCTAGGCATCGGTGATCCACAGTTCCCTACGGATCCAGTAATTAAAAGGAACAGTTGATTTCTTCAGAGAGTTTATAGTCAGACATTAGAAATGAAGACATCAGTAGGTAATCACAATACAATGTGACAATTTCTACAATAGAAACATAAGCTAGAAATGGACGTGAACACGAGCTTAGAATCATATCCAACTGTCCTTAGATAGTGAGGGTGCAGGTAGAAAAGGGGTGCAGCAGGACGCTGCTGGAGTGTTTCGTAAGAATTGACATATAAGATAGGATGTGAAAGGAATCGCCATAGGCTAGATGAAGGGGTAGCACAAGGGCTGAAGGCAGCACCCAAGTCTTTGAATGCAAGTCAGTTTTCCAGACTTATTTGCTGAAGTATCCACCCCCACCTTATCCTATAGCTAGTCAGAGTAAAAGCTCCACCTATAAAAATGTCACTTGCGGCCGGGCGCGGTGGCTCACGCCTGTAATCCCAGCACTTTGGGAGGCCGAGGCGGGCGGATCACGAGGTCAGGAGATCGAGACCATCCCGGCTAAAACGGTGAAACCCCGTCTCTACTAAAAATACAAAAAATTAGCCGGGCGTAGTGGCGGGCGCCTGTAGTCCCAGCTACTTGGGAGGCTGAGGCAGGAGAATGGCGTGAACCCGGGAGGCGGAGCTTGCAGTGAGCCGAGATCCCGCCACCGCACTCCAGCCTGGGCGACAGAGCGAGACTCCGTCTCAAAAAAAAAAAAAAATGTCACTTGCATTTGCAGTCTCACAAGGTTTTCTAGAGTCAGAGAACTCAAGGAGCAATCTGCTGGGAACTGCACATAAACCATGATGGGGGTAGTACTGCCTATTTGTAAACATCCTCTATCATCTTTGTGCTGGTGGAAAAGAGAAAAGCTGTTTTAGAAATGTTGTTGTGGTAACTCTTATTTTTAAAGCTTTTAACATAGAAATTTTCAGCATATGTAAAAGTAGTGTGAATTGTACAGTGAATCTCCAGCCAGTTTCAATAACCAGCAACACTATTCTATTGACAACCTTGTTATGGGCTGAACCGCATCATTCAAAAGAGAGACGTAGAAGTCCTAACTTCCAGGACCTCAGAACGTGACCTTACTTTAAAATATGGTCTTTGCACGTTCAATCAAATTAAGATGAAGTCATTGGGGTGAGCCCTAATCCAGCGTGACTGCTGTCCCCGTAAACTGGGGAAATTTGGACACAGGCATCCAGAAGGAAAGATGATGTGAAGACACCGGGCGAACACAGTGTGAAGACGGAGGCACAGATAGGACTGATGCAGCTGCAGGCCACGGAGATCTCCAAGTTGGCCATCGCTACAAGCTAGCAAAAGGCAAGGAAGAATTCTATGCAGAGTCTCAGAGGGAGCGGGGCCCTGCGAATATCTTGATTTTGACCTTCAGAACTGTGAGACAGTAAATCTCTACTGTTTTAAGCCACGAAGCTTGTGGTACTTCAGTATGGAGCCCTAGCAAACTAACACAAACCCTTTCATCTCGTCCACTAGGTTATGCTAGAGCACATCCCAGACAGCAAAATCATTTCATCTGTAAAAACATCAAAACCGCTCTTAGCACATCCATCAAAATTAACACCACTGCTTGCAGTTACTTTTGCCCCTAGAATACCTACACTAATAAGTCAAACTGCTGCAATGTAAAGGCAATTCAAATAATTCTTTTTGTGGCTAAGCCACCAACCTGGAACACAATTAGGGTTGTTTCATTCTGCTTTCAATATGTAGGGGGTACTTTCTCATTTTTGTTTAATTTTGTCTTATAATTTTATAAACCATTTTTATAGTTCTGAAGTCAAAATTTTGAGACCTCAAAAAGTCATAGATTCTACCCCTGTTCCATCCTTTTTCTTCCTTCACCTTAGAGATAACCATTTTTATTGATCTCCTTTTTTTTCTTTTGCTTTTATCTTTCTAAAAAAAATAATTGCACTGCTTAATGACTGGGATATGTTCTGAGATACGCGTTGTTGGCGATGTTGTGCAGTCATCAGAGTGTGTTACACAAATCTAGATGGTATAGGCTACTACACACCTAGGCTATACCCCTATACAGCATGTTACTTAGCTGAATACTGTAGGCTACTGTAACACAATTGTAAGTATTTGTGCATCTCAACATATTAAAACATAGAAAAGGGACAGGAAAAATGCAGTATTATCATCTATGGGAGCATCATCATATATGTAGGCTATCATTGACTGAAACATTATGTGCTCCATGACAGTGTAAGTAAATACACACACACTTTTCTTGGTATTCCCACCCACCTTTCTTAGATAACAGTACTAACTGTGCTGTTCTGCACTTATTCTCACATTCTGGAGATCACTCCATAGTAGAAGTTACAGAGGTCCTCCTCATTCCACTTTACAGCTGTGTGGACGTACCACAGTTTATCATCCTTGGAGTGCCTTAGCTTTAGTTCTAGGCCCCCAGTTCTTCTCACTCTGCATCTTTCCACAGGCAACTTCAATCATAGACTCATCCTCTAAGCAAGATATCTCCCATACTCGACTCCCCCTTACAGACGACCTACTCAAAAGAGCAGTTCAGATGCCTCAAAGTCAACACACCTAAAACCACACTCACGATTCTTCCCTCCGACCTGGTCAACCCCTTGTCTCTGTAAATGGCACCACCTCTGAATCAAAACCTTAAGAGTTATCCTTAATAATTCTCCCTCCCTCAGCCCCCTCATCTAATCAATTACCAAGACCTGTTTATTCTGCCATCTAAATCTGCCTCACATTCGTCTACTTTTCCCCATCTACTGCTACCATTCCATCATGAGCCTTGCCTCCAATGTCACCTGCCTCTCCTGATTTTCCTTACAGTACGCTTTTACCTGTCTTCCCTATGGGTTCATTTCTCTCTGCCTGGCTTCCTGAAATGCTGGAGTTCCTCAAGATTCAGTCTTAGGCTCTTTCTTACTCTTACTGTAATGTGAACACTCTCCCTAGGCCAACTCATCCTCTCCCATTATTTCAATCACCCTATATTGATCAGGTTCTCCCAAATTTACATTTCAAGCTCAGTCTACATTTTGAGGTACTGTACTCCGAAATCAACACTACTTGTCATCGCCACTGGGATAACTAGGTCAACCAAAAACAGCTCAATTAATCTAAAACCAAATTTACATCATCTCCAAATCTGATCTCCTTCTAGTGTTCCTATCTCACTGAATGACATCACCAACCGTCACAGAACAAACCAGAAACCAAGCAAGCATCCCTGACAACCCCATCTCCCTTTTGTTTGCTTTTATTTTCTTTGTTACCCCATCTCCTCTATCTTCCATGTCTAACAGTCCTGCTGGCTGTATCTCCTGGACATCCCTGGGACTGGTTCACTTCTTTCTGTCTCCAACACCACTAACCTAGTCCAAGTCACTCGTGCATTCATTATACAACTGGACGCATACCCTGGCCAGGGACTGTTTTAGGTTCTTGGAAAACAGGAGTGAATGAAACAGGCAACCCCTCCCACAGCAGCTTACAATGCAGAGGCAGAGACAGATCATGAAGAAACAGATCTATTACACAGCGCTAAGCACGAGGAGGGAAAATAAAGCACGGTGAGGAGATGGCGTGGGGGCTGCAGGGCTGCGTGTCAGATGATCTGTGCCTGTGTGAGCCGAAGCCTGTGCAGCACAAGGAAGTGAGCGAGCCACATGGACGCATGACCGCCACGAAGAACAGTCCCAGACAGAAAAAGCAGGGCAGAGGCCCTGAGTGGGGGCCTGCTTGGCGCCCCCCATGACACACTGCAGGGCGGCCAAGGGTGATCAGAGGCCTCGAATGAAGGGCAGAGTGGAAGGAGCTGAGAGTGAAGAGGTAGCCAGGGCCAGACCACGTAGTGTATTTCTCCCAAAGGAGAGTTAAAAAGATAAACAAGTGTGGTTCCCATATAAAAAAATCTCACCTTTCTTCAGGGAGGAGAAAGCTCTCCCCAGCACAGGGGCTGTGGGGACCGAGGCTGCCTGCCCTGCAGCTCCTTGCTGGGCCCATGGCATAAGGGGCCATCACTGAGCCCTCTGGACCTGACAAGCCCTGCACTGTGGCCGTCAGGTTCTCCACATGGGCTGGCGGCTGCAGAAAGCAGCCTAGGCCTGCCCTGGGCTACTTACGGCTCCTCAGAACCTGTGCCTGGCTCTCAAGCACCAACCAAACCCTGTGACAGGGCCCGTGGCTCTCTCTCGGGTGCTCCACCTTCTCCTCGCTGGCTTTGCTTCTCTGGACCTTCATGAACACCTTTCTTTAGGCCTGAGCAATTCTTCAGTCCTTTGATCCCAGGCCCTTCCACAGGGAAGCCTTTGCTGACGCCACCTGCCTGCTCTGCACTCTCACAGCACCGAGTGTCTTTCCCACGTGGTCCTCACTGGAATGTGTCCTTCTGTGCCTTGTGTGCAATGAGTGTGTTCACCTTGTCCCCCACTAGATCGTGCACTCCAGAAGCAGGAGACCTGTGTCCCTTTCTGCCCAATGCTATACAAAGCTGTGGGCGAGGGTTCAACCTTGATCCCCCAGAGCCAGAGCCCCCCCAGTTCAACCACTCTCAGTCCCCCACTGCCACGATGGCCCCTCCCCGTTTCTCTACTCTGATTACTTCTCGGGCTCTGTCAGATTCCTCCTGCTTAAGCACCTCGCAAATGCTGTTTCCTGAAATTCGGGCCTCCACTTGGCCCCCTCACCTGGCCAGCTCCAAGCTTCTAATGCCCATCATGCTAATGGGCTCCCTGACCTCCCTTGAGTCTCGGCCCTGTCACTTACACACCTGCCCACCAGGGTTCCCCACCTGACGACTTCACTCACATCTCAAGTGAAATCCATCCCACACCCAACTGCTCCTGTACCCTGATCACGTGGGCGCCGCCTCCTCCCTCACGAACTCACGGCAAGTGCCTTCATCCAGGCCCTTCCACCTCCTGCCTCCCTCCATGACTGCAATCGCTCTGCAAGGCTTCCCGCCTTTTTTTTTTTTTTTAAGACAGAGTCTCACTCTGTCGCCAAGGCTGGAGTGAAGTGGCGCAATCTCGGCTCACTGCAACCTCCGCCTCCCGGGTTCAAGTGTTTCTCCTGTCTCAGCCTCCGGAGTAGCTGGGATTACAGGCCTGCCCCACCACGCTTGGCTAATTTTTGTATTTTTAGTAGAGGCAGGGTTTTGCCATGTTGCCCAGGCTGGTCTCAAACTCCTGACCTCAGGTGATCCGCCCGCCTCGGCCTCTGAAAGTGCTAGGATGACAGGCGTGAGCCACCGTGCCCAGCGTTCTGCCTCACTTTCAAACACGATGCTTCCAAAGTGACCATTCTTGTGAATTCAAATCACATAAGAACGTCACAAATATATTCTCTTTGTGAAACATTAAAATACTACATGTAAGTAATGCCCCCTTCCATGGACCCATTCTCAATCCCATTCCAAGTGTAACTAATGTCATCAGCTAAGGTGTGTCCTCCTAACCTTTCTCTCTGCTTATGTGCACATTACACATACACATAATTTTCATTAGACATAAATGGTGGCGTCCTAACAATGCTCTGTAACTTTTTGGGAGCTCTGTCCACGTCCCTGGACTCTTGTTTTCAGGGTGGTGATGCTCACAGGTCCCTTAGCTGTTCTTACACGGATGGAGACTCAGCTGTTTCTGATTCACACCAACTTTTCTAAGATACCAAGGACCATATGATTCCTGCCCAAATCCTTCCATTATTTCCAGTGCTCCATGGGACAGTTTCCACCTCTTAGAACCGTGCCCAAGCACTTACCACGCGGCCCTTCCCTAGCTTTCTAGGCTATTTCCTTCCTCACCTCCTCCTTTCCCAAATACACCCTGAGCTTCAGCCAGAGTGATTATTTGAAATTCCTTAAATAGACTATGTTTGCTGAATGAATACATGAAAATACAGCCCTATTCTAAAACAACAGGAAAGAGTAAGAAAGAGATTCTGAGAGATTCATGGGGAAGTGAATCCTGCCTAAGAGCCTGGGCTTCCGCTTCCCCATCACTTCTTGAGGCCTGAGAATTCTCAAGGGAGTTTCCCAACCAACGTTCCTACCTCCTCTCATTAACCAGACCATTGTCTGCGGCCATTCCGCACCTCGGGCCACCCACTTACCTAGAGAGGAGACGCCAGAACCGTCTTTCTCCACCTCCCAGGGATCTTCTCCTTGCTGCAACAGGGAGATCACTTTTGGTTTGGTAAATGGGAGCCCTGCACATAAACAAAAAACCACAACCAAACAAATCAGACTTGGTTTTGTATTGATACAGTTATCCCAAATTTAAATACAGAACTCACAGGATGGTACAAAGAGCTTCTGTGTAGGGCTTCAGTTGTGCCCCTGGGAGGTAAGGGGGTAAGGCGGTAGGGTGAGGAAAAGACAAGTGACTTGTAGGACATGACTCTGGGACAATTAATTATAGGTTAGGAAAATATGATCAACATGCAGTATTGGTAATAGGATACCACTAGCTTTCTATAGAAGAGGAAATGTTAAGATATACAGACTGATTAGAATTTCTAAGTAGGTTATCTATGAAAAGGATTATGTACCAGGTAGCTTGTCTAAAACGAGAAAACACTATCTGACTCCGCTTTTTTTTTCTGAGGAGGAGTCTCGCTCTATTGCCAGGCTGGAGTGCAGTGGCGCAATCTTGGCTCACTGCAACCTCCGTCTCCCGGGTTCAAGTGATTTTCCTGCCTCAGTCTCCCAAGTAGCGGGGACTACAGGAACATGCCACCACGCCTAAGTTTTGTATTTTCAGTAGAGACAGGGTTTCACCATGTTGGCCAGGATGGTCTTGATCTTCTGACCTTGTGATCTGCCCGCCTCGGCCTCCCAAAGTGCTGGGATTACAGGTGTGAGCCACCGCGCCCGGCCTATGTGACTCCCTTTTAAGGATGGCAGTGATCAGCAAACTACGGGTCATGGGCCAAATTCAGACCACTGCCTGTTTATGTATGGCCCTGTGCAAAGAATGGTGGGAAAAAAAAAGAGAAATATGTTACGGAGACCATTACGCAGCCCACAAAGCCTAAAGTCTTTACTACGTGGCTTTTTTTTTTTTGAGACAGAGTCTCGCTTTGTCGCCCAGGCTGGAGTGCAGTGGCGGGAACTTGGCTCACTGCAAGCTCCTCGCCATTCTCCTGCCTCAGCCTTCAAAGTAGCGGGGACTACAGGCGCCCGGCATCACACCCAGCTAATTTTTTTTGTGTTTTTTAGTAGAGACAGGCTTTCACCACGTTAGCCAGAATGGTCTCTATCTCTTGACCTCATGATCTGCCCGCCTTGGCCTCCCAAAGTGCTGGGATTACAGGTGTGAGCCACCATGCCCAGCCTACATGGCTTTTTATAGTAAAAGTTTGCTAATCCCTGGAAAAGACAAGTGGGAAAGGCAGGTGGTAGGCCTAGAGGCTGAATGAAGCTCCCTGTTGGGAGACAAGCAAACTACAGAATCGTTGGGAAACGATGCCTGAATCATGGACAAACTTGGAGTGTGTGATTACATAGAGAGAGAGGAATGATTATCAATACCACCTCTTCCATTCCCAGACACAGGGCAATTTCATGCCTATAAGGGGGAATAGGTTTTTAATGTTTATTTATAAAGATCTGATTTGTACAATCCTCACACACTCAGCTCAAATTTTTCAGTGACCAACCGCTTTTATTCAGGGAAGGAGGTGCTGAGATATCCCAATTTTTGAATTCTGTTTCTAGAGGGAAAATTTCCTTACCCAGTGAGACCAGGTTCCTATAGTTCTCCAGCATCACATCCCGGTACAAGTTTCTCTGAGAAGGGGCCAGCTTTCTCCACTCATCTCGGGTAAACAGCACAGCCACATCCTCAAACGTCAGTGACACCTGTAAGGACAAGTCGTTCCAGCTCACCCAGGACCACCCTCACAGAGCAGAGGGGGCGGCAGTGGGAAAGACACGCTACCCGTGAAACACTTCCCATACTATTCAAGCTTCTGAAGGTTCCAGATCATTCGTTTAATGAATAATTGGCCAGTAACAAATGTATACTGAGCAGCACACAGTGAGATTCAGGCCTAGTGCAGCCACTGTAAGAGATGGGTAGAGGAATTACGGCCATTAGTGGGAGTGTTAATTAGAAAACTCTTTCTGATGGCGATTTGCTAATACATATTAGAACCCTCAAAGTATACTCTTTAAAGTACCAATTACTCTATTTGTACGATAATGAACAGTGCACAAAAGTACACACAAACATATTCATGGTGTTTTTAAGAGCAAAAAACCAGGAATAATCTAAATACTTAATGATGGAGGTTAGGTTAAGCAACTGAAGGTACTCTCTATGTGCTTACTCAAGCTTAAGGATAGTAATGACGAAAAGTAAAATAGCTATAATTTATTGAAGGCTTTCTATGGGCCAAGTATTGATCTTAGAGCTTTATGTTAATTTGCAGTGTATAATCTTTATTTAACATTCACAACAATCCTATCAAGACGATACCATTATTGTTGCCACTTTACACAAGAGAAAACAAAGTCACAGACAAGATAAGAAATTTGTCCAGGTCACACAGACACAGTCACTGACCAGCTGTGTGACTTGTACACATTTTTTTTTTTCTTTGAGACAGAGTTTGGCTCTTGTTGCCTAGGCTGGAGTGCAATGGCATGATCTTGGCTTACTGTAACCTCCACCTTCCGGGTTCCAATGATTCTCTTGCCTCGGCCTCCTGAGTAGGTGGGATTACAGGTGCTAGACACCATGCCCGGCTAATTTTTGTATTTTTAGTAGAGACAGGGTTCCACCATGCTGGTCTCAAACTCCTAACCTCAGGCGATCTGCCGGCCTCGACCTCCCAAAGTGCTGGGATTACAGGTGTGAGCCACTGTGGCCGGCTGACTTCTACAAATTTTGTATCCTCTCTGTGACTTTGTTTTTTCTTGTGTAATTCAAATCCAGCAGATGTCTCACTGAGCTTGCATTCTTAACTACTCTGTAAAACTGCCTTTTAATGCCTGCCCCTTAGGGTTAAGAAATAAATGTGATAATCTACACAATAAAGATGGATAGCGATGATGGCTGCACAGCAATGCGGAAGTACCTAAAATACCACTGAATTATACACTTAAAAAGTTAAAATGGTATATTTTATGTTATATATATTTTGCCACAATAAAAAAAGGTTAAAATGGTAACATAGATGGTAACATGCATACACAAACACACACACACAAATAAATGTGTACAGAAAATGATTTATTCGGGCTGGGTGCAGTGGCGCACATCTGTAATCCCAGCACTTTGGGAGGCTGAGGCGGGTGGATCACCTGAGGTCAGGAGTTTGAGACCAGCCTGGCCAACGTGGTGAAACCCCATCTCTAATAAAAGCACAAAAAAAAAAACTTAGCCGGGCGTGATGGCGGGAGCCTGTAATCCCAGCTACTTGGGAGGCTGAGGCAGGAGAATTGCTTCAACCTGGGAGGCAGAGGTTGCAGCGAGCCGAGATCCCGCCACTGCCTGGGCGACAAAGCGAGATTCAAAAAAAAAAAAAAAAAAGAGAACCACTAGACACGGGTGGGGAGGGTGGGTGGTCCTCCCTACAGAATCCACCACTCATGAGGGCGGACCAGCTCCTCCAAGAGAAAAGGACTTGGGCTCCATCCTGGCTGGAGATGGTCCCGGGTGAAGAACTCCAGTTAGTGGGGAAAATCCATCCACTGGGATCTGGGAGGGCAATGAGCTCACCTGGGGCCTCGCTTCCCGCTGCCCAGCAGCCATGTCCTCTTTCTGGCTCTCCCGGGAGGACGGCGCAGTCTCCAGAAGGCAGATCTGAGAAGAAAAAGGGAGCCAGGAAGAACCCCTTCTGCTTTCCAGCCCTGGAATCCGCAGCTCTAAAACCCCGACTCCCGCTGAGAAGGACCCCGCGCGCCCTCACAGGGATTCGGGAGGAGCCAGGAGCCCGCGGACCAGAGCAGCGCTGGGCCGCCCGGCCAGGCCCAGGCCCCACAGGCTTGGGGCTTACGGAGGGGACGCTGGAGCCGCAGTGGCAGCAGCGACCCGCTGAGCCCACCAGGGCCAGGGCTCGCCCCACGCCGCTGAGTTCCTCGGCGCCAGCTGGCACTGCCAGCACCCACTGCACCGCTCAGGAAACTGAGGCAGCGCCGGGGCACCTGCCCCGTTCACGCCGCTGCGAGGCGGGCCGGGACTCCCACCACGACGGCCCCGGGACGACTTCCCTCCGCCTCAAGCCTTTCCCAGCCGGTTCCTCTCTCTCCCGCCAACGAATCATCTCCCGACTCCACGGAAAACGGCTTTTTTTTTTTTGAGGCGGAGTCTCGCTCTGTTGGCCAGACTGGAGTGCAGTAGCGCAGTGGCAGGATCTCGGCTCACTGCAAGCTCTGCCTCCCGGGTTCAAGCCATTCTCCTGCCTCAGCCTCCCGAGTAGCTGGGACTACAGGCGCCCGGCTCATTTTTGTATTTTTAGTAGAGACGAGGTTTCACCGTGTTGCCCAGGCTGGTCTCGAACTCCTGATCTCAGGTGATCTGCCCGCCTTGGCATCCCAAAAATCTAGGATTACAGGCGTGAGCCACCACGCCCGACCCCATGTATCCCATTTCTAACACGATGTTTCTTTTTTGAGACGGAGTCTCGCTCTGTCGCTCAGGCTGGAGTGCAGGGCTTGATCTCGGCTCACTGCAAGCTCCGCCTCCTGGGTTCACGCCATTCTCCTGCCTCGGCCTCACAAGTAGCTGGGACTACAGGCGCCCGCCACTACGCCCGGCTAATTTTTTTTGTATTTTTAGTAGAGACGGGGTTTCACCGTGTTAGTCAGGATGGTCTCGATCTCCTGACCTCGTGATCCACCCGCTTCGGCCTCCCAAAGTGCTGGGATTACAGGCGTGAGCCACCGCGCCCGGCCAAACACCAGCTCTGAAGAGGAAAGCGCTGGGTGTCCCGAGGCGGGAGGGGTGGCCGTCCTGGGGACGGACTCGGAAACCGGGGCCCGGCTGCGTCCGCCCTGCCCTCGGGGTCCCGGTGCCCCGAGTCCGCGAGGCCCACATGGAGTGGGCAGGACGGGCCCGGGAGGAAACGCCAGGCCCGGCGTCCACGGCGAGCCGGACGCGGGTGCACCAGCAACGGCGAGGGAGCGCCCCGCGGGGGGGCGAGAGTCCAGATCCCGGCGCGGGGGCCGGTGACAGACGCGGGGGTGCCCGCCAGCGCCCACAAAGGCTTTCGGAGCCTCGGCAGCCGCAGGCAGTCCCCGTGCCGGGCGCCGCCTCCTACCGGCTTGGCCTGCCGCCGACGCTCACCTCCCTAAGCTCGAGCGTCCCGGGCCGCGCCTCCCCAGCCGCGAGGCTCCGGAACCGCCGGCCGGGATGCAGCCTCGCGACCCGGCTCCGCCCCGACGGCGTCTGGGCGACCTCAGGCCCGGCGCCGCTCACCCCGCGGCGCGCCGGGGACCAGGAGGGGCGGGGCAGCCGCTGAGGCCGCTGGGAAATGGAGTCCACGAGAGGACACCTGCATTCGGGGAAGTGTAGTTCCATGCGTTTGAGGCGGGGTCCCGGCTGAGCTGTTACGCGCCCACATGCCACAAGAGGGCCCCTGTGAGCTGGAGGGCCCCAGGTTCCTGGTTATAGGGAAGATAAGGGGAGGTTCGCTGAGGGCAGTAACTTGCAACTCTGTGTCTGTGGGAATTTCGGGAGGGAGGGCGTGGGCGGCAGGAAAACGGCCCAGAACAGACCTAGTGCCCCTCAGTTATTCACCAGAGGGGCACTGAGCACCTGCTGTGTGCCAAGCACGGTTGCAAGTGGTTTCACATGTATCAATCAATGAAAGAAACGTCACTGCCCTGGAGAACATTTTTTTGGGGGGTAGGGAGCAGACAATAAGCCATACACATAATTATATAACATTTTCGGGGATAAATGTGAGGAGAAACAGGGTATGTGGAGGGGTTTCGTCGCTGAGGTGAGAATGGACGAGGACTCCCAGGAAGTGCCTGAAGCAAAGGGGAGGGAGGTGCCAGCTACTGTGAAGCCAACGGATGTATGTATGTATATGTGTGTGTGTGTGTGTGTATATATATATATATTTTTTTTAAACTAAATCTTCTCAGTTACAAAAAGAACACCGGCTCCATTTAGAAAGTTTGGCGCTTCCCTACTTAAGAATATGCCTTGAACATTTGAATTTGTCAATAAATATTCTCCCTCAGTGGCATTTTTGATAGCTTCATTGCATTCCATTGCATTTATTTTTTTAAAAAAAACGTTTAATTGGCTGGGGGCGGTGGCTCATGTCTGTAATCCCAGCACTTTGGGAGGCCGAGGCGGGTTGATCACGACGTTAGTTCAAGACCAGCCTGGCCGAGATGGTGAAACCCCGTCTCTACTAAAAATACAAAAATTAGCTGGGCGTGGTAGCGGGCGCCTGTAGTCCCAGCAACTCAGGAGGCTGAGGCAGAGAATTGCTTGAACCGGGAGACGGAAGTTACAGTAAGCCAAGATTGCGCCACTGCACTCCAGCCTGGGCGACAGAGCGAGACTCCATCTCAAAAAAAAAAAAAAAAAGTAGTTGCCTCTGAGGAGGGTACTGGGAGCTGGAATAATACTTGCACTTGCTATTTAACACCTTGATATACTTTTCAACATTTTGCTTTACCATATGCATGTATGACATGAATGCTTTTAAGAGAGAAAACAATTTCCAGGCTTGCAAAATTGGCTGTATCATTAGCAATACTTCCAGCACCAACATACAGAAACCTTTGCTAACAGTGGCTTGCATCATGACATTTATTATTTGTTTAAAAAGCGATCTAGAGGTAGGCAGAAGGAACTGACCGCAGTTGGTTTGGTGGCTTGATGACATCAGCGAGGGCTCAGTGTCTTTCCGTCTGTCTGCTCTGCCACCCAAAGTTCTGGCTATGGTCTCCACTCAAGAGCCCAGCATAGCTGCTGCTCCAGGAACCAGTTTTCTCACAGCCACATCCAATATCAGGAAGGAAATTACAGAAACAAAAAGGACTAACTTCCACATGATGATCACCTTTTATTTTCTTTTCCAGAAGCCACCATCCCTTTTCCTCCTCCAACCCATTCAGCTCCTTTCCATCCTTCTCTTGCATTTCATTGGCCAGAATTAGGTCACTTCCTCACCTCTGAACCAATCACAGGGAATTTAGTTCACCTGAACTGAAGCAGCTCCATCATATCTCATCATCTGGAGCTGAGCGCATTGCTCACTGAACAAAATTGGTGTTCTTGACAAAGAAGAGGAGGGCAGTGACTGTTAGGCAGGCAGTAACAGGGTGTACCAGGCAGACTGACTGACCAATTAACTAACCAGCTACCATCCCTTATGAGGAGACAACTGCCAGCCTGTCTGTCAGAATCACAAAGCCTGGAATCTCTCACGACGAAAGGCTATACAATCCTGAGGCCTTGGTCCTATGTTAATTTAGTGTGGATTAATCTTTTGAGATAAGACCATTAGTCATGTGTTGGCATCTGCAAATTAACACTGGCTTCTGGGGAGAAACTCTTCAGGAAGAAAAAAATCACATCACTGCATTTTTCAAAGGTTCAACATCAAAAATTTATCAAGTGTAAAAACCCAGTCTGTTTGATACTGTTAAAATGATTAATATTATAAATAGCTGCTAGAAACAAGGCACATCTGACAACCTGAAGGACTGGAAGGAGAGGCAAACATTTTCCTTTCTGAATTAGGAAAAGCTAGTTTCATTATTTGCATTTTCCCTCATATCATTTTATGTCTCTGGCACATTTCCTAAATCAAAGACTTTCCTGGGGATTCTATTTATCAGACAGGTATTGGCTTGCTTTTCAGCAGCCCTATCATAGTTGATTTACTAATATATCCTATAGACTTTCTGCACAGTTTATACAGCTAAGGCCCATAGTGCCTCGTCATTCCCACCTATTTTAAGTGAAAGGCTTAATGCATAGATGGGATCTGACATATGAGTGCTGCTCACTAGTTCGCTGTCAGAGCAGGTCTGAATAATTAGCACCGGCAGCTCTTCTGTGCAGATATTAATATCTTATATCATAAATGTCAAGCATAGCACAAAGATGCAACCGGAAAACCTCCGAAAGCAAGGGAGCCCATAAATCATGGAGGTTTCACTCTATTTTTCTTCCATTTTACTATCAGAAAATAAACCCAGGTGGTGAGATTTAAAATCCTGCGCACCTCCTATTTATTACTTAGCACGGGGCCTTTCCTGAAGCTGGACCCTGGAGGAAGGGCTGAGGGGGAGGAGACATCTCAGCTGGGGAGGGATAATGATGGGGTGAGGGGAAGTGGAAAACAAAACCTCACAACAGCACTCCCAGACAGTTCTGTGCCCTTTACCCATGGCACCATGTTGCATGCATTTGGGACTTAGAGGCCGATACAGGCTATTGGAGAGGCTGCTTATAAAAAATCCTAACCCCCTGCCCTACTCAGTGAAGAAAATAATCTCTTTTATGGTTGCAAGTGTGAGAATGAATGTTGTAATGTAATGTTCATAAATTTTAATGAACTTGCTGAGGATGCCAGGCCCTAAACACCCCATTCAAATTAGGCCCTAGCTCTGCAGCCAGCAAGGCCACATGCAACCTTACCCCCAACAACAGGTATCACTCGTTGTTTTTTTTTTTTTTTTTTGAGACTCTGTCACCAGGGCTGGAGTGCAGTGGCGTGATCTCGGCTCATTGCAACCTCTGCCTCCTGGGTTCAAGCGATTCTCCTGCCTCAGCCTCCCGAGTAGCTGAGACTACAGGCACCCGCCATTATGCCCAGCTAATTTTTTGTATTTTTAGTAGAGACAGGGTTTCACCGTGTTGGCCGGGCTGCTCTTGAACTCCTGACCTCGTGATTCATCCACCTCGGCCTCCCAAAGTGCTGGGATTACAGGCATGAGCCACCGCGCCCGGCCATCTAACTGCAATTTAATTTAATTTAGAGATGAGGAAGTCTGTACTTCTGAAAAAAACAAAAGCAAAAAACTATTCTATCCTAAGAACTTTGGCACTTTGGCTATTAGAAGGTTCCCACTATATTTAGCTGAGGTCAGTTTCTCTGAAACTCCTTTTGATTCATCCTACTTGCCCTTCTAGGGACCCATGGGGGAAATTCTACCTTTTTTTTTTTTTTTTTTGAGACAGGATCTCACTCTGTCTCCCAGGCTGGAGTGCAGTGGTGCAATTAGGGCTCACTGCAGCCTCAACCTCCTAAGTTCAATCAATCCTCCCAACTCAGGCTCCTAAGGAACTGAGACTACAAGTGGGTGCCACCACACCTGGCTAATTTTTTTAAATTTTGGGTTTGAGGGTACATGTGAAGGTTTGTTACATAGATGAACATGTGCCACAGGGGTCTGTTGTACATATTATTACATCACCTAGTTATTAAGCTCAGTACCCAATAGTTATCTTTTCTGCTCCTCTCCCTCCTCCCACCCTTCTCCCTCCGATAGGCCTCAGTGTCTGTCGTTTCCTTCTTTGTGTGCATAAGTTCTGATAATGCAGCTCCCACTTATAAGTGAGAACATGCAGTATTTGATTTTCCTTTCCTGCGTTAGTTTGCTAAGGATGGTAGCCTCCAGCTCCATCCATGTTCCCACAAAAGACATGATCTCATTCTTTTTTATGGCTGCATAATATTCCATGGTATATATGTATCACATTTTCTTTGTTCAGTCTGTCATTGACAGGCCTTTAGGTTGATTCCATGTCTTTGCTATGGTGAAAGTGCTGCAGTGAACATTTGCATGCATGTGTCTTTATGCTAAAATGTGTTATGTGCCTCTGGGTATATGCCCAGAGGATTTGCTGGGTCAAATGGTAGTTCTGCTTTTAGCTCTTTGAGGAATCGCCATACTGCTTTCCACAATGGTTGAACTAATGTACACTCCCACTAACAGTGTATAAGGGTTCCCTTTTCTCCACAACCTTGCCAGTGCCAGCATCTGTTGTTTTTGTTTTGTTTTTTAACTTTTTATTAATAGCCATTCTGACTAGTGTGAGATGGTATCTCATTATAGTTTTGATTTGCATTACCCTAATGATCAGTGATATTGAGCTTTTTAATATGCTTTTTGGCCACATGCATGTCATCTTTTGAGAAGTGTCTCATGTCCTTTGTCCAGTTTTTAATGAGGCTGTTTTCCTCTTGTACATTTAAGTTCCTTATATGATATTAGACCTTTGTCAGATGCATAGTTTGCAAATATTTTCTCCCATTCTGTAGGTTGTCTGTGCACTCTGATAATAGTTTCTTTTGCTGTGCAGAAGCTCTTTAGTTTAAGCAGGTCCCATTTGGCAATTTTTGCTCTTGTCATGATTGCCTTTAGTGTTTTTGTCTTGAAATCTTTGCCTGTTTCTAGGTCCAGGATGGTATTGCCTAGGTTGTCTTCCAGGTTTTTATAGTTTTGGGTTCTACATTTAAGTCTAATCCTTCTTGAGTTGATTTTTGCATGTGCTGTAAGGAAGGGGTTCAGTTTCAATCTTTTGCATATGGAAAGCCAGTTATCCCTGCACCATTTATAAAACACGGAATCGTTTCCCATTGCTTTTGTCGGCTTTGTCAAAAATCAGATGGTTGTAGATGTGTGGCCTTATTTCTGGGCTCTCTATTCTGTTCCACTGGTCTATGTGCCTGTTTTTGTACCAGTACCATGCTGTTTTGGTTACTGTAGCCTTGTAGTATAGTTTGAAGTTAGGTAATGTGGTGTCTCCAGCTTTGTTCTTTTGGCTTAGGATTGTCTTGGCTATTCAGGCTCTTTTTTGGTTCCATATAAATTTTAAAATAATTTTTTTTTCTAGTTCTGTGATGAATATTTTGGTAGTTTGATAGGAATAGCATTTAATCTGTAAATTGCTTTAGGCAGTATGGCCATTTTATTGACACTGATTCTTCCTATCCGTGAGCATGGGATGTTTTTTTCGTTTGCTTGTGCCTTCTCTGAGTTTTTTGAGGAGTGTTTTGTAATTCTCATTGTAGAGATCTTTGATCTCCCTGGTTGGGTGTATTCCTAGGTATTTTATGTGTGGCAACTGTGAATGGGATTTTGATTTCTGATTTCTCTCAGTTTGGTTGTTGTTGGTGTATAGGAATGCTTGTGATTTCTGTACATTGATTTTGTATCCTGTAACTTTGCTGAAGTTGCTTATCAGCTGAAGGAGCTTTTGGGTCAAGACTATGGGGTTTTCTAGATATAGAATCATGCCATCTGCAAACAGAGTGACTTCCTCTCTTCCTATTTGAATACACTTTATTTCTTTCTCTTGCCTGATTGTTCCGGCTAGGATTTTCAATACTATGTTGAATAGGATTAGGGAGAGAGGGCATCCTTGTCTTGTGCCAGTTTTCAAGGGGAATGCTTCCAGCTTTTGCCCATTCATTACAATGTTGGCTGTAGGTTTGTCATAGATGGCTCTTATTATTTTAAGGCATGTTCCTTCAATACCTAGTTTATTGAGAGTTTTTAACATGAAGAGATGTTGAATTTTATCAAAAGTCTTTTTTTTTTTTTTTGGAGACGGAGTTTCACTCTTGTTGCCCAGGCTGGAGTGCAATGGCATGATCTCGGCTCACCACAACCTACGCCTCCTGGGTTCAAGTGATTCTCCTGCCTCAGCCTCCCGAGTAGCTGGCATTACAGGCATGCACCACCACACCCGGCTGATTTTTTTGTATTTTTAGTAGAGACGGGGTTTCTCCATGTTGGTCAGGCTAGCCTCGAAAAAGTCTTTTTTATATCTGTTGAGATAATCATATGGTATTTGTATTTAGTTCTGTTTATGTGATGAATCACATTAATTAATTTTCATATGTTGAGCCATCCCAGGGATGAAGCCTACTTGATCATGGTGGATTAGCTTTTTGATGTGCTGCTGGATTTTGTTTGCCAGTATTTTAGTATATGTGCTGCCAAAGTGAGCAGGTTTGCCAGTATTTTGTTGAGGATTTTTGCGTCAATGTTCATCAGGGATATTGGTCTGAAGTTTTCTTTTTTTGTTGTGTCTATGCCAGGTTTTGGTATCAAGATGATGCTGACCTCATAGAATGAGTTGGGTAGAAGTCTCTCCTCCTCAATTTTTTGGAATAGTTTCTATAGGAATGGTATCAGCTCTTCTTTGTACATCTGGTAGAATTCAGCTGTGAATCCATCAGGTCCTGGGCTGTTGTTGGTGGTGGTGGTAAGCTATTTATTACTGATTCAATTTTGGAGCTTGTTACTGGTCTGTTCAGGGAATCAACTTCTTTCTGGCTCAGTCTTAGGAGGGTTAATTTCCGCATCTATCTTCTTTTTCTTCTTGAATTCCTTTGTGTAGTTGAAAAATGCTGCCTTAAACCTCCTGCACAGCAAGCTGACCAACCCTAGGCTCTTTCAGCATTCATCATGTGACAAAATTTCAGTCCCTCCTCTCAAGAAAGCACTGACAACCTGGCCCTCTTAAAGTAAATTCACCCAAACAACAAGTAAAATATAATAGCAACAACAACAATAATAATCCTTATTAATTTTTCAGCACTTACTGTGTGCCAGGTACTCTGCTAGGCACTTTATTTTTTATCATCTTCTTTCTTACAAAAACACTATGCAGTAGCTGTTTCTATACCCCCAATTTACAGATGAAGAAACTAAAACTCAAAAACATAAGGTGCTACCCTTACATGGTCCATATGAGGCACAGTCAGGATTGACTAGGGCTGAAGTTCTTAGCCCCTGCTCCATCACCTGGAGCCAGAACTATCACTTCCCTACTTTTACGAATATGGTGGAGGACTCAATTTACTCTTGTTGTTGGCTCTCAGGGTTTTTTTTTTCTCTCCCAAATCTGTATCTTCAGCCCACACCTCTCTCTCTTGGGTTCTAGATTCTTATATCCAACTGCCTGCTGTACACCAACCACTTGGACAACTCCTGGTTGCCTCAAACTCAACATGTTCAAACCTGAATACATCACCTGCTCTCCCAAATATGCTCCTCTCCTGCTGTTCCCCAAAATCAGAAAATGGCTTCACAATCCACTCAGTTGTCTCAAGAGCAAATGCTGAGTCACCCTTGAATCCTTCTGTTGCCTCCACATTCAAACCATCACCATATCCTTGATTTCTCTACTGTATATTTTTCAGGTGTGTCCACTTCTTTCCATCTGCACTCTCACTAGTGAAGGCCACCAGTGTCTCTCATCTGAATGCCTGTAATGCCTCCTCACAGGTCACCAGGCATGTAGTTTTGCTCCTGTCCTGCCCTCCCCTCATCTAGAGTAAAGCCAATTGGAAGCTTTCAAAATGAAAATCTGATTAAGTCACTTCTTTGCTTAAAACTTTTTTATGGTTTCCCAGCCCATGAAAATAGTATCCAATGTCTTTAAGTGCATTGCAAAACTCTTCCAGGCCTCCCTCTCCAATCCTCCCTGTCCTCCCTCTCCAGTTTCATCACTCATTATACACCCCATAACCTTTATGCCAGAGTAGTCATGAACCTTCTCCCATTCCTTCAATGTTTTATGTCATTTTGCCTCCAGGTCTTTACACATGCTGTTCCTTCTTTTGAAATATTCTTTCCTCTCCCCATTGTCTGGTAGATTAACTCCTCTTTATCCTTCAGATGTCAGCCTTAATGTCACTCCCTCAAGGTGAACGTCCCTGAATTCCCATGCATTACATACGATACCATTTTTATTCTGCCATTGTATGTGTCACCCTTTATTGTTAAGAAACAAATAAGAAATATTTAATTGTTTCCATAAGGAAATGAATTGTGTCTGTCTTACTCGTCATTAAATCCCGGAATTTTGTTAAAGCACTAAACAAAGGGCTTGAAAATTATTTGTTGCCCAATGAAGGAAGGAATTAATGAATATTCGTAAAAGTAGGGAAGTGATAGTTCTGGCTCCAGGTGATGGAGCAGGGGCTAAGAACTTCAGCCCTAGTCAATCCTGACTGTGCCTCATATGGACCATGTAAGAGTAGTGCCTTATGTTTTCGAGTTTCAGTTTCTTCATCTGTAAACTGGGGGTATGAAAATGAATGAATGGCAGTTGAAATCCTGGTCAAACAGGTGCACCTAAGCATGTCTTCTTCTACATGTATGTGTGAACTTGACGTTTTGGATTCCAGAGAGGATGTCGCATTTATTTCCCACTAACCTTCCTGTTGTTAGGTTCAGTACATTTTTTCAGATTGCTGAGATGTTTTTGGATCCTGATTATCGTACCTATTCTCTAGCATATTAGTTATCACTGCCAATTTCATGTTATCTGAAACCTTGATTAGCATATCTTGTGTCTTCATTAAACAAGGACAGAGCCTAGTGACCCCCCCCATTAGACACCCATCGCTATTAATCAGCACCTACTGCGTATGCTAATTCAATCAGGTTCAAACATGCTACATTTCCTCATCCTCAAGAATATCGTGTGTAAACTTGTCAAGAGCCTTGATGAAACCCTAATAAAGATTGCTATAATTCTCCAAACTCACAATTCTCAATTTTCTTGACCTATCACACACTGACAGATGATATTCAAATAGTATCCCCTGAGCATACTCAAGTTGTTGTGAAATTCCCAGAAGCAAAACTAAAATTCTACCTCTCCCTCTCTCTCCCACTAAAGAAATCATACTGTAGAGAAAGTGGATGACTAGGGGTGTAATGACAGCCAGCAGGAGTCCTGGCTGTTCTAGAGCTGAGGCTCAGATGTGTGCCTGACAGCTGGCCACCGAGTGGTCACTCCCACCTACACAGCATCTCTGCAATTCATGCTTGGGCAGTCAGCCTCTCTCTCCCCTCCAAGGAGAATGCAACATTTCAGCAACCTTCCCTCCGGCCCTGACTCTACATTCTTCTTAGATGGCACTTTATTCTTCCTGATTCCATTTCCTGATGGTCTGCACACATACCGGGATGAAAACACATCTATGTGGTTAAACTGATTCAATTAAAATCAGTAGAAACTAAGAACTTCAAGGACCTTTCACCTGGAGAACTAGATATTCCACCAAAACGATTGTATTATGAAACACCAATTGGCTTTGCAATGCATCACCCCACTGCCCTAGTTGGCAGACTCTGAAGTCCTAGAATTGCATGAGATGATTAATGCCAGCATAAACTATATCCATGAATGAAGCAGGGATCAGTGAGACATACATTGAGACATACGTCATCTACTGCGCACTGGTTGCAGGAGGCATCAAAGCAAGTGAGACAGAAAAAATATGTCTATTCTTTGACAGTGAAACCACTTGAATTACTAGTGCTAGGTAAGGTCTCTTGGGCAGGGTCCTCAAAGAAAACTAGAAGTTGAATTCCCTAAGAGAGTGGGTACAAAGAAATGTGATATTGTAACATCCCATTTCTAATCTACCATGCTTTGTGGACTAAGATTCTATCTATATACTGGCAATCATATCAGTAGCAAACAACAGTTGAGAGGAACACAGAGAAAACAGCTAGAGCAGAGTTATGTCAGATGGCCAGGCAGTGAGGGAAAGTAAATGTGAGACTGGACCAAGAACTTGTGAAACAGGCGGACATAAGGATTACTGGTTGTGGCAGTAACTGCTCTTTGCCTCCTAAATCCTCTCCCCACTACTTTCTTGTAAAAGAATCCTGAATATTTTAAAGCAGGATAAATTGTTATTTAGCTAAAAGATGGTATTTTCCATCTTCCCTCTCAGTCAGCTTAGGATGTAACTAGTTTTGGCCAATGAGCTGTGTGAAGAAGTGTTGCATGCTAAGTTCAGGAAATCCTGTAAGGGAGGGGGTACATTCCTTCTCTCACCTTCCTCCATCATGCCTTGGAATGGTGATATAATGACTAGACCCAGGTAGAATTCTTGGACTGTGAGGTGGCCTTGGGAATAGAAGCCACACACAGGACACAGCAAAACCAGTGCCCGTTTCTGGCCCTGTTGCTGCCACACCAGCCCTGGATTGCTTTATCTCCAGGTTTCTTTTCTGTGAGCAAGACAGAAACTATCTTGTCTAAGATATCATTTTTCAGGGCATTGTTCTTGCAGCCAAAGCTCCAAATCATCACTGCTCCCCCTTCTAAGTGTTCACAAAAGACCCAGGCTCAGCTCTACTGTCTGGCTGCCCATGCTTGTCACAGGGAGAGCCAGGCCAGTTAGCTCAGGCCTCACTCTTACACAATGGGCCCCACATGTAAGATTTTAAGCTCCTCTCCAAATGAGATTTTACACAGAGTCTTTGTGGGATTTCTGGTGTTAGAAGCATTGATTTGTCTGCCACATTTGAAATCCTGTTTTGAAATTTTAAGTATTTTTTTAATATCCCAAAGGTCTTAGTCTGCTTTGTGTCACTATAAATGAATACCTGAGGTTGGGTAATTTATAAAGAAAGAGAATTATTTAAGCTCATAGTTCTGCAGGCTGTACAAGAAGCATGGTGCCAGCATCTGTTTGGCTTCTAGTGAGGGCTTTTGGGCTGTGTCAAAACACGGTAGAGAAGGTCCAAGGGAAAGTGGGCATGTTCAAACCTATGGGGCGTCCTGGCTTTATAACAACCCACTCCCGAGGGAATGAATCCATTCCCCTGAGGACTGAGCCAGTCTTGAAAAAGGGAGAACTTAATAACCCTAGAAGGACACCGAGCCATTCATGAGAGATCCACAGTCATGACCCAAACACCTCCTACCAGGCCCACCTCCCAACACTAGATCAAATTTCAACGTGAGATTTGGTGGGGACGAACAAACCATATTCAAACCATAGTATTAAGACCCTCAAATAAACAGAAGCAACCCATAGCCCAAGGGAGACTCTGCTTGCTGCCATTGGTCTCCTATCAGTACTGATGCCAGAAACTGGTCTAAGACTCTTAGGGTCCCTCATTTCTCCCAACTGTCCCCAGAACAGAGTCCTTGTTGGGGTGATCAGTCCCAACACCAGGCTGTGGGGGCTGCGGAGTCAAAGGAATGAGAAAAGAGAGGTCAAGAGTACATAAGGTGGGTTCAGGGGGCCAGCGCTGGTATGGAGGCTGTGAGGGCCCCGAGCTCTGGGAGCCCACACTATTTATTGGTGATCAAACGAAGAAACAGGTGGTGAGGACATGAGAGTAAACAGGTGATAGCGTGAGGACGTGGGGGTAGAAAAGCAGTGGTGCATTAAGTGTAGCTGTGATGGTTTAGCATTTCCTTTGATGCATATAGAATATGCTCTGCTGCTTGAGATAATGGAGGACATGTTTGTGAGTAAGAAGCAAGGAACCAACAAGTCTGTGCACACCCCAGAGGCTACGAGGGGTTTTATGCCCTGAGCCCTGGGTTCCAACCAAGCCACAAGGGGTTTTATGCCCTGAGCCCTGGGTTCCATCCAAGCCACAAGGGGTTTTATGCCCTGGGCTTAGATTTGTGGTGTGGCAGGGCAGCCTTCCACCCTTTGGCACAGAGCTTGGTGTTCCACAGGCCACAAGGGGTTTTAGATCCTGGATCCCGGACATCTTCCAAGACTCTTTTACATTATGACAGACAAGCCAGTCCTGCCTCAGCTCTTCTACCAACAGTCTTAAACAAATAACAACACCCAAGTTACCAGTGAAGTTAATGTTTGATCATTTTAAATTTTTTTTTTTTTTGAGATGGAGTCTTGCTCTGTCACCAAGGCTGGAGTGCCGTGGTGCGATCTCAGCTCACTGCAACCTCTGCCTCCCGGGTTCAAGTGATTGCCCTGCCTCAGCCTCCCTCGAGTAGCAGGGACTACAGGCACTCGCCGCCACGCCCGGCTGATTTTTGTATTTTTAGTAGAGATGGGGTTTCACCATGTTGGCCAGGCTGGTCTTGAACTCCTGACCTCAGGTAATCTGCCCACCTTGACCTCCCAGAGTCCTGGGATTACAGGCGGGAGCCACCATGCCTGGCCCATTTAAAATTCTTGTTTGGCTATTCTAAAATTCACAAGGAAGCAAAAAAGAGCCCAAATAGCCAAGGCAATCCTAAACAAAAAGAACAAAGCTGGAAGCATCACGCTACCTGCCTTCAAACTATGCTATAGGGCTACATTAACCAAAACAGCATAGCACTGTTACCAAAACAGACACATAGGTGAATGGAACAGAATAGAGAATCCAGAGATAAAGTCACACACCTAAAGCCATTTGATCTTCAACAAAGTCTACAAAAGTAAGCAGTGAGGAAAGGAGTCCCTATTCAACAAATGGTGCTGGGATAACTGGCTAGCCATATGCGGAAGAATGAAACTTCACCCTTACCTTTCCCCATATACAAAAATTAACTCAAGATATATTAAGGATTTAAATATAATACCTCAAACTATAAGAATCCTGGAAGAAAACCTAGGAAACCTCATTCGGGACATTGGCCTTGAAAAATAATTTATGGCTAATTCCCCAAAAGCAATTGCAACAGAACACAAAAATTGACAAGTGAGACCTAATTAAACTTCTTAAAGAGCTCTTGCACAGCAAAAGAAATTGTTACAGAGCAAACAGACAATCTACAGAATGTGAGAAAATATTTGCAAGCTATGCATCAAACAAAGGTCTAATATCCAGAATCTATAAGGAACTTAAATTAACAAGCAAAATATAAACAATCCCATCATAAAATGGGCAAAGGACATGAACAGATACTTCTCAAAAGAAGACATACAAGCAGCCAACAAATATATGAAAAAATGCTCACCGACCAGGTGTAGTGGCTCACACCTGTAATCCCAGCACTTTGGGAGGCCAAGCAGGCAGATCACCTGAGGTCAGGAGTTCAAGACCAGCCTGGCCAACATGTTGAAACCCCTTCTCTATAACAATATGAAAAAATTAGCTGGGCTGGTGGTGGGCACCTGTAATCCCAACTACTCAGGAGACTGAGGCAGGAGAATCGCTTGAACCTGGGAGGCAGAGGTTGCAGTGAGCCGAAATCGCACCACTGCACTCCATCCCGGGTGACAGAGACTCCATCTCAAAAAAAAAAAAAAAGCTAATCACCACTAATCATCAGAGAAGTGCAAATCAAAACTACAATGAAATGCCATCTCACACCAGTCAGAATATTACTAAAAGGTCTAAAAACAGCAGATGCTGGCAAGGCTGAGTAGAAAAGGAAAAGCAATGTTTATACACTGTTGGTGAGAATGTAAATTACTCCAGCCACTGTGAGAAGCAGTTTGGGGGTTTGTCAAAGAACTTAAGACAGAACTACCATTAGACCCAGCAATCCCATTACTGGGTATATATTCAAAAGAAAGTAAATCATCCTACCAAAAGACACATGCACTCATATATTCATTGCAGTACTATTCACAATAGCAAATACATGGAATCAACCTAAGTGCTCATCAATCGTGGACTGCATAAAGAAAATGTGGTACATCTATACAATGGAATACTATGCAGCCATAAAAAGAATGAAGTCATATCCTTTGCAGCAACATGAATGCAGCTGGAGTCCATTATCCTAAGCAAATTAATGCAGGAACAGAAAACCAAATACCACATGTTCTTACTTACAAGTGGAAGCTTAACACTGAATACTCAGGGACAAAAAGATAGTAACAGACACTGGGAACTACTGGAGGATGGAGGGAGGGCGGGGAAAGGACTGAAAAACTACTGAGTACTATACTCACTCACTACCTGGGTGACAGGGTCAATTGTACCCCAAACCTCAACATCACACAATATACCCATACAAAAAATGTGCACATGTAGCCCCTGAATCTAAAAACAAGTTGAAATTATCTAAATATATAATTTAAAAATTTAAAAATTTGTGTTTGAGGAAATAGATGGGAGAACGGATGACTGCGTTGCAGCTCAGTTCTATATATCTGAACAGAGGAGTAGGGGAGGTAGGCTCCATGCCTCTGGTGGAGTTCAAAGTGAACGAGAAGATGCCACCTGAGAAGAGAGTTGGATGACAAACTCAGCCCTCACTCAGGGCCTCAGCTCCATCAGCCTTTCCTAGAGATGCTTCTTATCATAACCCTGGGTCAAAGTCTTCTGGGGAGAGGGGGCAGTGACCAAGCTCACAGGCTGTGTTCTGCAGGACATCTCCTCCAAACAAAGATGTCTCAGAGAAACTAGAGCCCAGCTACCATCTATGAAGAAAGGCCTCGCAGTGGGATCACTGGGGACTGTGGGATGAGAACCTTCTCTGACCCTCAGGTCTAACTCATGACTTTGCAGGCAGCAATACTGTCAGCCTGATATCAGAGCTGGTGGATCAGGTGGCTATTCCTACTCTCCTGCTCAGGGAATAACATGACCCAAATGATTGTCACCCCCAATAAAGACCCCATAGAGAGAAAAGACTGTCATATCCTATGTTAGAGAAGCAAAAGGCATATCCCCAAATATCTTAGTTCCCCTTACTAACACATTTAGCTCTGTTATGAATTTATCTACAGCTTTCTAAAAAGCCTGTATAGTTTCAATTTCTTTTCTCTTGGGATAACAAATTCCATGGTTTCATTATCCATAATGACAAAAGGCTTGTCATTCCACTGATTTGTTCTAAATTACTCAGCATTTTTAAGTCTGGATAATGTAACCTTTTAAATTAGGTCAACTATTCCTGTCACCATGTCCACCAGTCACAGGGTTATTGAACTTAACAAGAGTCGGTCCCCATTTGGCCTTCACAAAACAAGCTGAACCTGGGCTTAAGGATCAAATGGCATCCATTCCTCTCCACCTTCTGGAGAACTTGGGCCTCTGGACTCATCTGGATTACCATCCTTTGAGATGAGGCTGGGGATCAGTCTCTAAGGAAATTATAGGGAAATCATTTGGTAGCAACTTCAACAAAGCAAGATCAGTTGCTTGTGTTCTTCTCATCACCCCAACACTCCCCTAGACACCTGCCTTGTTCCCATAGCAAAAGCTAAACTCTTCATCTTCACATCAAGAAGTAAAATATCAGATCCAAACAGAATAAATTCATGGACCACAGCTGAGCCTCTCCGACTATCAGGTATAAAACTATAGTCTCTCTTGGCCAGGTGCGGTGGTTCACACCTGTAATCCTACCACTTTGGGAGGCCAAGGCAGGTGGATCACTTGAGGTCAGGAGTTTGAGACCAGCTGGGCCAACATGGTGAACACCCGTCTCTACTGAAAATACAAAAATTAGCTGGGCGGTGTGACTCACGCCTGTAATCCCAGGTACTTGGGAGGCCGAGGCAGGAGAATCGCTTGAACCCAGAAGGCAGAGGATGCAGTAAGCCGAGATCGCACCACTGCACTCCAGCCTGGGGGACAAGAGGGAGATTCTATCTAAAATAAAAATAAAAATAAAAAAGTATATGAATATGCATATATATACTAAAATTTCTTTCTGAAAAATAATGTAATGTCATTGTTACATAGCTCAATTTTATCTTAAGTGAGACAGCATCTTGGAAAATTGATTTTGTTATGTCTCGGTAAAATAATCAAGACATCTTTAATCTAGCTATGTGAATTATCTTGCCCACTTTTTAAAAAAAAAATATATATATATTTTTTACTATACTTTTAAGTTCTAGGGTGCATGTGCACAACGTGCAGGTTTGTTACATATGTATACATGTGCCATGTTGTTGTGCTGCACCCATTAACTCATCATTTACATTAGGTGTATCTCCTAATGCTGTCTGTCTCCCCTCCCCCCAAAACAGGCCCCAGTGTGTGATGTTCCCCTTCCTGTGTCCAAGTGTTCTCAATGTTCAGTTCCCACCTATGAGTGAGAACATGCGGTGTTTGTTTTTTTGTCCCACTTTTTAAATTACTTACTTGTAGTCAACATAGCAATTGATACTAACACTGTATAATTATTTCATGGCTGATGTGGTCCTATAAAGGTTAATAAATTTTATAAATTTTATATTCCATGACTTCTATTTATTATTTTTTCATTAGTAGTAATCTCTGGACATAAGAATGTGTTCAGTCAATTTAACATTAAATTAATTTTTTTGTCCTGAGAAAGGAGAAATGTCAGTGCCAAAGGCACACAATAAAAACACAGAAATCACATAAATTCCCCCTTTCAAGGGCAAAACTACTGCATATGGCCCTTGGACACATTAACTTGCCCACATCAAATCAAAAACAAATGGGATAAGAAATAAAAAGTGAACTAGTGTGAAATTGTTGCTTGTCAACATTAGGGAGTACATTTTACATCAAGAAACTCATAAAGAATAGATGATAGCTTACTTAGCTCTCCTAACCACCACCATTTTTGTTCTAGCTGGTGCTAAAAGCTCCCAATATTTGGAAATAGTTTTTTCCCCTTCTCTTTTGGGGGTATTTTTGATTGCTAACAATAGTTTGTTGGGCTTAAATGAATCAAATCTATTTGTTTTTATCCTGAATTGCCCACAAATCAATTATGTATTCCTGACTAAAGGGAACTCTGATACTGACTCCATTGTTCCAGCTAATGTCACATATTAATCAGGAAGGCTGGCCCTTTAATTTCCCTGTATATTACAAACATAATATATTCACAATAGCCTGTGCCAAAATCACTCATGATAAATCTACCTGTCTTGTCTACAAAAGGTCTCCCAAAGGATTATAAATCATGCTGCTATAAAGACACATGCACACGTATGTTTATTGTGGCACTATTCACAATAGCAAAGACTTGGAACCAACCCAAATGTCCAACAACGATAGACTGGATTAAGAAAATGTGGCACATATACACCATGGAATACTATGCAGCCATAAAAAATGAAGAGTTCATGTCCTTTGTAGGGACATGGATGAAACTGGAAACCATCATTCTCAGTAAACTATCGCAAGGACAAAAAACCAAACACTGCATGTTCTCACTCATAGGTGGGAAGTGAACAATGAGAACACATGGACACAGGAAGGGGAATATCACACTTCGGGGACTGTTGTGGGGTGGGGGGAGGGGGGAGGGGGGAGGGATAGCATTAGGAGATATACCTAATGCTAAATGACGAGTTAATGGGTGCAGCACACCAACATGGCACATGTATACATATGTAACAAACCTGCACGTTGTGCACATGTACCCTAAAACTTAAAGTATAATAATAATAAAAAAAATAAAAAAAAGGTCTCACAGACTTTCCATATCCCCTGCATGACCGAAGTTCAAATTCAATCCATCATATTATAGGCCAAAACCCCAAAGAAAATCACACCCAATGGACTGTTAAACCAGGTTAGGTTTGTATTATTTAGCTCAACAACATTGAATCAGATTTAAGTAAAGTGCAGCCTTGAAAGTATTTTAATAGATTTTGGCTTGTTGTTGCTGATGTGTGTGTATACATATATACACAGACACACATAGACACACACACATACACATATAAAACAGTGTGTTAAAATAAGTATAAATTATTTCATATGAATGCAGGAAAATCATAATTGTGTTGGTAAATTGGTCATTTTGCAAAGTATGTGAATTCAGACTGTTACAGGAAGGTATTAACATATTATAAGTTAGCAGAGTAATGGTTAACTACGTTTTTGTAAATGTGTTTTTAAAGGCTTGTCATAAAATTCTGAAGGAATCCTACTCACTGAATTCATTTTCCTCGACGTTAACTTCAAATAGTGCTACTAATATCCATGTAGAAATTAGAGTGTGGAGCGGGTAACCAAATCGAGAATGGTAAGATTCCACACTCCCGAATAACTGATACCATCAGTCCTTTACACCCGTATTCTCAGCCCAGGAAACTCACAAATTACACTGAGGAGTTGTAAATAAATAATTAGAAGTGATGTAGATTTGAAAACTAGCTTGATGATTTCAAATATGATACTAGAGAAGGTACCCTATTATATTAGTTTTCTTTAAAAACTAAAAAAAAGTGGACATTGGAAGGAAAACTTAGTCTTATAATCACTAATTATAATGATAGGCCAGGCACAGTGGCTCACGCCTGTAATCCCAGCACTTTGGGAGGCCAGGGTGGGAGGATCACTTGAGCCCAGGAGTTTAAGACAACATGATGAAACCCCGTTTCTACCAAAAATACAAAAAAATTAGCTGGGCATGGTGGTGCATGCCTGTAGTCCCAGCTACTTGGGAGGCTGAGGCAGGAGGATTGCTTGAGCTCAGGAGGTCAAGGCTGCAGTGAGCACTGATTGTGCCACTGCACTCCAGCCTGGACAACAGATGGAGACCTTGTCTCAAAATAATAATTATTATTCTTATTATAATCATATCAGGATCACTGGACTTACTTCAAGTGTCACTGTGGTTCTATTATTCTGGAAAAAATGACTGTCATTTCTCATTTAAAACAGAATACATACATAGTAATAAGCTAAAGCAGATTGGAGAAATTCTTTTGAACACCTGGATCTTAGGCAAATCATTCTTTTTGCTAAACGTGTGTAATCCTCAGGAGTCTTGGATTTCAGCACAACCAGTACTGCAATGCTCTGCACACCTTGTGCATTTGTGTTTGTAATTCTAGCACTGTGTTAGAATGGGCTGACACTGTCACAGCGGGGGACATCGCTGGCTAAGCCTTATTTCATTCTGAGAATCTGCCTCTTGAGATCTCACATTTTTACTTGTCAGAAACAAATGTAATAGGGAAAATTATGCCAATGGACTTTTGAAAACTAAATGCAATAGTCATACATGAGATACGTGTGTCTAGAGTGTGCGCATGTGATACAGTGGATTCTGGGCACCGAGGAAATGGTTGCACTTACTCTGTTTCACTAACGGCGATTTCCAGACGTATGTTCTGAAGTGTTTAAGAAGCAATTTAGAACTCCAGAGAGCATGCATTAGGACACTGGAAAATCTACAAGAAACTGGAGCAACTTGTTTTTGAAGAATGCTTCATGTTAACATGGAGCTGTCAACTGTCTTTGTGAAAGTTGCTGTTCTGATTGCTGTATTTTTCTTCATCTTTCCCAATGAGTACAGCAGTTTTATGTCTACGTTGGCTTCTTTCTCCTATCAAGAATATCGTAGCCTTGTGAGAACTATGTTTTGTCTTCTTATGGTTCTTTAGTGTACCAATATAAATGCAAATAAATTTTCCACTGACATAGGAAGTCTTTTGTACTTATCAAGTAATGTAGATCTACAATCTACTTTCATGTGATTCAGAGGATATAAGTTTTGACACACCACAACAAAATTTCATCCAATTAATTCATCAAATCCTATTTTTAAATATGCTGAGTTCAGCAGATATAATTCATATTAAGGCATTTACCCTTCACTGCGTATTACTTTTAATTCCATCTAGATATCACTAAATATTCTGTTGTTATGAAATAAACACAGAAACATCTGCTAGTACTCCTGAAGTCACACTTAAACTCTATGCTTGCTAATTTTTTTGATCCTTGAGTGGTCTGAATATGGAGCACCAAATCAAGCCCTGGACCCCTGGACAACTGGCTCTGCACACTCCAGTTTTTCAGATCTGCTGGAGGTCAAATAATCTAGACATTAAATCAGATGGTGACCACGGAACAGATAGTAGGCTTTTACATCATTTCAACACATACAATCAAGGTCAGAAATAGAAAAACACATGCAGACATCTGTATCTTTTATTCTTTAGTAAGAATTGAATGGTGTGCAGATTCTGTATTACCTGAATCACAAGGTCCTTTATGTTTCATGCCACTACTAGAGTTCGTCTGAGAGTTTACCTCCTTCAACTGGCAGACATCCTCATAGTTTTTTTCCTGTTTCACACAGATGCATTGTGGCTCCGTGATTCTCCATCTGTGAGCATCTCTGCATCCAGGAACAAGTCAGGTTGTTCACACACTGATCATAGAAATGGCTGTTTCGGCTGGACGCAGTCGTTCACACCTGTAATCCTAGCACTTTGGGAGGCTGAGGCGGGAAGATCACTTGAGGTCGGAGTTCGAGACCAGCATGGCCAACATGGTGAAACTCTGTCTCTACTAAAAATAAAAAAACTAGCCAGGCCTGGTGGTGGGCACCTGCAACCCCAGCTACCTGGCAGGAGAATCACTTGAACTGAAGGTGGAGGTTGCAGTGAGCTGAGATCACACCACTGCACTCCATCCAGCCTGGGCGACAGTGCAAGACTCCATCTCAAAAAAAAAAAAAAAAAAAAAACCAATTTCTGTATTTCTGCCCCTATTCCACCGTTCCAAGTAGAGCTGCATCGATCCAACACAGTCCTGGAAAGGGAGCATGCAGGCTGGGAGCAGAGTTCTACATCACATTTTCCACAGCTATCATCTCCCCAGAATAACCTCAGCCAGCAGTCATGACACAAAGTGGGGAGACCCTGCAAACCATGCAAAGGTTGTAGAAGGACTGCAAACACCACTATGCTCACCAGAGGCTTCATTCCAAGCCATTCATTCATACCAGCTTTGAATCTTTGGTTTTAAGCCAAAAGAAAAAAAGTCCCCATTTTTTCATCTTGTTTTTCCCTCTTTCCCCTCCAGAAAAATTATAAATCTGCCACAGACGATTTCAAGGCAATGCTGACATCAGATTCCAAGTTTAGAGAGGATAAATGGGATATTTAAAAATCCACAAATGCTCTTCTGGGATGCAATTTTTTAAAAGACAACGTTAGGGTTTAAAACAAACTATAATCTTGACAGTGGAATTGTAGTTTTTGCCTCTTGATTGGTTCTGGAAGCCAAACCCTGAGAGAGTTATTATATGAGAATAAAATTGTTTTACAGTGAAGTCCAAGAAATATTAATAAAGAAAAATTATGTAAAGCATAAAGTTTATTATCATGTATGATTTAAAAAGTGTTAGGGAGCTATTTTCCATTTTTTTTTTACCTCCTTCCCTCTCTGCCTGCTTCCTTCCTTTTCTTCTTAATCATAAGACTAACATGTCCAATACATTTAGACTACTATTTTATGAAATATTAGAAAGTATCTATGGCCCAACCTAACTGGCTTCTGTTTATCTGGGGCTCAAGTGAGGTTCTGGGCATCATTTAACACACCATGACTCTAAAATAACTACTAAGCAGCCGGGTGCCATGGCTCACACCTATAATCCCAGCACTTTGGGAGGCCAAGGCGGTGGATCACCTGAGGTCAAGAGTTTGAGACCAGCCTGCCCTGTCTCTACTAAAAGTACAAAAAAACTAGCCGGACGTGGTGGTGCACGCCTGTAATCCCAGCTACTCGGGAGGCAGAGGCAGGAGAGTTGCTTGAACCCGGGAAGCAGAGGTTGCAGTGAGCCGTGATCGTGCCACTGCACTCCAGCCTGGACGACAGAGCGAGACTGTCTCAAAAAGAAAAAAAATAAAACTTTTTAAATTTTTGTTAATATAAAATAACTATTAAGCAATAATAAAGGATAGGACTTCTTGTTAAACACATGGTCAAAGAGTTCTCACATGTATTATGGTTTTCTCCTCAAACTCCACTAAAATGATACTGAAGGAATTTGAAAAACAAACTAATAAAGGCAGAGAGAACAGGAGAGGGCTCCACAGCAAATGGGGGAACTCAACACAACGTTTGGAAGCTGGATAACAAATGAATAGGTGGTAACTGATTTAGTACAGCAGAGACAGGGCAGACCTAGAGATCCATCGTGGGGGAAGACGACAAGAGGCCAGCCACGTTGCACTACAGAACTTCAGAATGTCAAGACTTGAAAGCAATATGAACCCCTGAAGGCAGGGTTGTGGACTGGGCCTGAAAACGGGATGTTTTGAAAATTGCTATATAGAAAAACAAGATTCCTTTGAAGGTAGCTCATTCAAGAGAAGAATAAAAAGAAAAAAGGCAAGGAGTTTAATTTCTTGTAAGGTTTGCTCAGTTGTGGCCAGGGATAAGATGCTGGACCAGGAGATTAAGGGGAAGTAATGGACTGAACAGGGAAACCTCAGGCCATTTCCCTAGGGGCTCCCAGAATGCTGGCAGCCAGGCCTGTATCTTTCAAGTGAGAAACCGGGAGATCCTTCTATGGGGAAACTGACCTATCTGGGAGATGTTACCTTCAGATAGTGCACATGTTACTTGGCTAAACGTAATTTTTAAATTAAAAGCAATAGTAACAAAACACAATCAGACAATCACTTACGGCTTTGTTTGAATCTTGGCTTGCCTATCACTAACTTGTGACCTTGGGTAATTTCACCATCTTGATCTTAAAATTTCCTTAAAATTGAAAAACCTTTCACCGAGTTGTAATGAGGATGAAATCAGATACATATGTAGAAGCTCCCAGGGGATACAGAGGCATTCAACAAAGAGCAGGGTTTTTTTTTTTTTTTTTAGTTCATAGTGATCATTAACTATAGTAAAAGTAAGTCCTCTTAGAATAATTAACCTACTCTGGCACAGTAACCTTTAGCTGATTATTACTCTGGGCAGAATATTATATTGGCTTCCTTTAGACTCTTGCTAAGTGGGTTGTGTGCCTGAGAAATGGTGATTGAAACTAGACATATAGATTTCTGTCTCCTTATGATAGATGAGGTAAAATAACAGTGGAAAAAGAGGGGAGCTCGAAGAAGAGGAGGAAAGAGAATTGATTTTGGTTTCCTTCAAAGGGCTGGTGTCATTTTTCTTAGATTTGTCATCATGTCTTGTTTGATCACTTGAAACCTAGGTGTCAAACACCACTGCACGTTTCACAAGAGCGGCGGATTTTATAGAGGAATTGGAAAGGTCCGCAGATAAAGAGGAAAGGAAGCGATGGGGTTAGACTCCAGGTGCTATCCTGGAGAAGGACAGGTACCCCAGAACAGAGTGCATTGAAAAACCCTGCACAGGAAGTAGAATTAGAGGAACAGGCTGATGTGAGTATTGAGGGGACACATACCAAAGGCCCTCTAGGTTCCAAGTATTGGCCATTCGTTTTTCTCTGAAATCTTCCAACTATAACCTTCGTCCAAACAGCTAGCTCATGATGCCACTATTACACACCCTGTTTGACAGATGAGAAAACATACGCAAAGAGGTTAAGTAATTTGCCCAAGATTGACTTCTCAGCAGAGACAGGATTTGTGAATCTCACTCCAAAGTACATCTACCTTTTTTAAACTCCATTATTCCATCTCTTCCCAGGCATGAACTTATTTTTATGAAATAAGTGTATGCAAGCCCTTTGTAAGTTATAAAGTATGACATAACCTGAAGACATTTTAGATATTATTTAACATTTGAAAGGCAAACAACCCCTGAAAATCTGAGGTGCGGTTGTGCTTATGTAACACTCAACGCATTTAGTTTGCCTTCTGCTTGTAGAGCAGGTTGAAATAGGAGAAGGGAACATGAGGCTGAAATGGACATGAAGTGGAATAGAAATAAAAGATGATGGGTTTCAGTATTTCAAGAGAAAAAGAATAACAGAATTATTTTTGTGGTAATAGAATTTGCTTAGCTTAAACACTTGTTTCTGTTGCATTACAAAATTGTATAAGTATAATGTGGATTTTCTTGGTATAAAATTAAAGAGGGATTATTTTGAGGCTGATCCACAAAAAATTTAGGTTCTTGCTACTCAAAGTGTGGCCTGGGACCAAGTTTTGGCTCCTCTTGGGAGCTTGCTGGAAATGCAGAATCTGGGCCCCACCTGAGTCAGACTGTGCACAGATACCCAGGTGACGTGTACGCACATCATGGTCCCTGAAGCACTGTTTTAGGCCAAAAGCTAAAGGCTGTGGGTGAAGAGAAAAGGGCATGAACCTGGGCAAGGGCTTTTCGGGGTTACATATTTTCAATGAGAATAAGGATTTTCAGGAAGTATTCTGAGTATTTTTTAAAAGAATAAACAGACTATGAACAAATCATCCCAATTGTCACAGAAGTGACTGGACTGTGGCTTGAGAGGGGGGCTGTCGTGAGCACATGTGTTATAAATGAAGCTCATTAAACAACAACAGAAGTTTAGGTATTAACAGAGATCAGGACATTCAGTGCAGCCTCCTGTTTACCAGCGACATTTAATTACCCAAAGAAGATCTGAGTGAAATCTTGAAATTTTAGCTTAAAAATTTCCCTTTAATATGTCAAGTTATAGTAAAACAAATGTGGATTTCTCTCTCTTGTCGGAAAGCAATTTAGTATTTTATAATGCTAAGGAAGAGGAAAAGGGATACCCAATATCCAACACCCTGAAGAAACCAGAAGAGAGGAAGTCTAAGGTGCCCTTAGGTGTCCTGAGTCCCCACTGGGGGCCAGATCCCATTTCCTGGCAGTCCGTTCTCACCATTTGTGACCTTGCTCTCTGCAGAGCATGATGCTGGGAGCCAGTGGCGGGGGACGTGAGGCAGAAAGACAGTGATTCAAGGCTTCCCAGCGAGAGCTACAGGTCTCTGAAGTAAAGAAAATTACAATTCCTCAGGTCCTGAGAGAGTGAATTAACAATTTACATGCTTTCAATCAATTTATCAGCATGTATTTAGTAAACATATACTTCTTGAACAGCTCTGTGCAAGGCAGCTTATACCAGAGCACAAGCCTTAATTCTTTTCTTCCAGGATTTTTAAATCTCCATGCCCAAATTGGCAGAGTGTTTCATGAAGAGGTGAATGACGTCTGCTGGGATAGGAGAGAGCACCGTCATAATTCACTGCCTGTATTTAGGTCTGAACAGTGGACAAATCACATTCAGAATCAGAGGGAAGTTATCGGTTTTCCCATTTTAGAGCCATGGAGCAGGTTGGGAGAGGTTTAGTAACCCAAGGTCACTCCTTGCTATAAATTGACAGAGCTGGAAATAAAATCTAGGTCTTCCATCATTTAATTCCATGAGGAAAGAATAACCCAGATGATGATCATGATGAAGGTGATGGTGATGGTGGTGGTGATGGTGATGATGGTGGTGGTGGTGATGGTGGGGGTGGTGGTGATGGTGGGGTGGGGCTGGTGGTGGTGGTGATGGTGACGGTGGTGGTGGTGGCGGGGGTGGGAGGTGGAGATGGTATGTGTGATTTATTACAGAGCAAAAGGAGGGCCTTGATGGCTCTGAAGTAACTATTTACAAGTGCTGGCTCGAAAACCAAGTTATACACTGGTTTCTCTTTTTGTGCCAACCTTACATTTTTTTAAAAACATAACTTTTATGAATATCATCATTAGTGCTATAAGCACAGGGAAGTATAAGTTAATTCTACAGTAAAGTGATGATTAAATCCATTAGTCATATACAGGGAATCCAAAATTAATTTATTCTCCAGCATCAAGTAAATGATTCTACTGTGTGCCCTAAGAAAGCAATTGTTCACTAATATGCAAAATACAGCAGAACTATTAGATCATAAAGCCATGCAATCTTATAAATTATAAATTTTACATATTTTAATAATGTGCTCTACATACTTTGTTTTCTATGCAAGATTAAAAGGAGGTGCCATGGTTTTTCTCAGACATATTAGATCTTGACCTGAGCTGTGCAATACTTAATGATAATGGATGAGTATCTACCAGGGATGACAGTAGTCTTTCAGTAGCACCAGATATTTCTTTGGATTATTGCTGAGGACTAAAATGAAGATATGCATTAGTCTTGAGTGGAGTCGCAGCTATACCCTTGGGCTTTGTTTCCCCCGCTTTTTGCTGTTACAACAACCATGGGCATCCACGTTCTCTCTTCCCAGGCCATGGGAAAGGACTGACCCCATTCACACTGCCTTGGTTGTACATGTGGGTAAAGGCAGCACGCACGCTAAATTCTCTGCAGGGGACTTATGTGCCCACATGGGCAATCTATTGTGGTTACTGTATTTTGGATTAAATAATGATGCCATTTTTTTCCCTGTGCAGAATTAAATGTGTTTGAAAGACCTGGGAAATACTACAGCTCTGGGCTGCGGGGATTGCCTCTGTAACCTTCTGTTTTTCCAAATCCTGATTACTGTGGAGCTGGTTTCTGTTCTCTCCCTCAGAGAGAGCTAACCTTTCTCTTTGATGGTTACGCTTTCAGCCTGCTTTCCAGTGTCACCACACGGGGTGAGGATCTTCTCACAAAGTAGCAAAGACAGCTGCCACCACTCCTGGCTGATGTCATCCTCTTGAGGATGCTGTAACTGGCTCTAACCCGATCAGCTTGGCCACATGCTTTTCTGTGAAGCTATCATGGTAGCCAATGGATGGAGCAAGCTGACGGTCCAGGCCTGGATCAGCTGCCCTCCTCTGGAGCCCAGTGGGAGCAGGGGCAGGATCAGACTCATCAAACCACATGGAGAGAAGGGGAAGAGCAAGAATCCACCAAGCAAAAGTAGGGGAGCGTGATGGTTAATGTTGTGTGCCAGTCTGACTGCACCACAGGATGCCCAGCTGGACTCTTGTAAACACTATTGCTGAGTGTGCCTGCGATGGGGTTTCTGGGAGAGGTTTGCATTTGAGCTGGTGGATGGAGTAAAGCAGATGGCCCTCACCAGTGTGGGCGGGCATCCTCCATTCTGTTGAGGGCCTGAGTAGAAGAAGAAGAAGGTGAATTATCTCTGCCGGATTGCTTGAGCTGGGACATCGATCCGCCCTCAGCACTCCTGGCTCTGAGACCTTCAGACTGAGACTTGAACCTGTGCCACAGGGTCTCTGGCTCTCAGGCCACTGAACTATACCACGAACTTTTCTAGGTCTCCGGCTTATAAATGGCAGCTCGTGGGACTTCTCAGGCTCCATAATCATATGAGCCAATACCTTATAATACACCTCTTTCCAGAGATATTCATACATCCTATTGGACTGCTTCTCTGGATGACCCTAGCTCAGGTAATATCTGCCCCAGGAGATAGAAACAGAAGTCTGAAGGTTGTAGTAGGCAGCCTTTAAGGTGGCCTCCACTGACCCCTGCCTCCTGCTAGTCACGCCATTGTGCATTCCCCTCCCATGCTAAACCAGGGTTGATCTCTGTGACTACAGAATAGAGCAGAAGTGATCATGTGTCACCTCCAAAATTAGATTATTAAAAAAACATGGTGGCTCTCAAAAAGGCAGGGAAAAAAGAGGATGGGAGCAGTGGCTCATGCCTGTAATCCCAGTACTTTCGGGAGGCTAAGGCAGCTGGATCACCTGAGGTCAGGAGTTTGAGACCAGCCTGGCCAATATGGTGAAACCCCGTCTCTACTAAAAATGCAAAAATTAGCTGGCCATGGTGGCACAGGCCTGTAATCCCAGCTACTTGGGAGGCTGAAACAGGAGAATCCCTTGAGCCTGGGAGGCAGAGGTTGCAGTGAGCCAAGATTGCGCCATTGCACTCTAGCTCGGGGGACAAGAGCAAAACTCCATCTCAAAAAAGAAAAAGAAAAAAAATACTCTTACAATAGGGTTTGGTATATCATTAGAGTTATGGCAATCTCAACCAATCAGAAGCCCATTCCTCTACCTGGAATTACTATTCTAATGTGTTCTTCCACTTTAATTAAAGGAGGCAAAATTGGTTCCCTTGACTCTGGTCTCTACTTTTTTCTCCATTTTCTAACTAAAGCTGTAGAAAGACATAGCAAATTAACATTGTATTTTCATCTGTTTTAGAGAAGTAATGAAGTATTTTCTATTTTTAAACATCCTGGCTAGTATTTGCTTTCTAAACCCAAAACAATCATGTTACTTCCATTACCAGAAAGGGGTCCTGACCCAGACCCCAACAGAGGGTTCTTGGACCTTGTGCAAGAAATAATTTGGGGTGAGTCCATAGAGTAAAGTGAAAGCAAGTTTGTTAAGAAAGTAATAGGCTGGGTGTGGTGGCTCACGTCTGTAATCCCAGCACTTTGGGAGGCCATGGCGGGCGGATCACTTGAGGTCAGGGGTTTGAGACCAGTCTGGACAACATGGCGAAACCCCATCTCTACTAAAAATAAAAAAACTGGCAGGGCGTGGTGGCACGCCTGTAATTCCAGGTACTCAGGAGGCTGAGGTATGAGAATCACTTGACCCCCGGAGGCAGAGGTTGCAATGAGCCAAGATTGCGCCACTGCACTCCAGCGTGGGCAACAGAGCAAAACTCCATCTCAAAAAAAAAAAAAAAAAAAAAAAAAGGAAAGGCAAGGCATAAAAGAATGGCTACTCTGGCTATTACATAGGCAGGGCAGTGGCATGGGCTGTTCAGTTGAATACACTTATAGTTACTTCTTGATTGTATGCTAAACAAGGGGTGGATTATTCATGAGTTATCTGGGAAAGGGATAGGCAGTTTCTGGAACTGAAATTTCCTCCCCTTTTTAGACGGCATATGGTAATTTCCGAATGTTGCCATGGCATTTACAAACGGTCATGGCGCTGGTGGGAGGGTCTTTTAGCATGCTAGTGTATTATAATTAGTATATAATGAGCAATGAAGACAACCAGAGGTCACTTTCATTGCCTTCTTGGTTTTGGTGGGTTTTGGCTGGTTTTTTTTTTTTCCCACTACTCAGGCCCTCAACAGAATGGATGATGCATCAGCAAGGTCTTCGTGACCTGTATCTTGTTCTGACCTCCTATCTCACCCTGTGACTAAGAATGCCAAACCTCCTGGGAATGAGGCCCAGTAGGTCTCAGCCTTATTTTACCCAAACCCTGTTCAAGATGGAGTTGCTCTGGTTTGAATGTCTCTGATACTTTTTTTTTTTTTTTTTTTTTGAGACGGAGTCTCACCTTGTCGCCCAGGCTGGAGTGTAGTGGCACGATCTCAGCTCACTGCAACCTCCGCCTCCCGGGTTCAAGGGATTCTTCTGCCTCAGCCTCCCAAGTAGCTGGGATTACAGGTGTCCGCCACCACGCCTGGCTAATTTTTGTAATTTTAGTAGAGATAGGGTTTCACTCTGTTGGCCAGGCTGGTCTCGAATGCCTGACCTCAAGTGATCCACCCGCCTTGGCCTCCCAAAGTGCTGGGATTACAGGCATGAGCCACCGTGCCCGGCCGCCTCTGATACTTCTCTACTTAAAAATTGTAGGCTTGAAAACAATAATCTTGCTTGAGCTCAGATAGTCACACATATATTGGGTGACTATCATGTTCCAGGCCCTCAAATAGGATATACGAAAAGGTTAATAATAGGTAATCCTTGCCCTTAAAAGTAAATTCTATTGATGATTTCACACTGTTTACAGCAGTTTCTCAAGGTGTGATCCACTGACGTCCCCTCCGCATTTCTGGTATGGATTAGAACTACAGTGGACAGGCTGGGCATGGTGACTCACACCTGTAATCCCAGAACTTTGGATTCTAAGGATTGACTCACTGAGACGGGTGGGTCATTTGAGCTCAGAAGTTTGAGACCAGCCTGGGCAACATGGCAAAACCCTGTCTCTACTAAAAATACAAAAATTAGCCAGGTGTGGTGGTGCATGCCTGTAATTCCAGCTACTCGGGAGGCTGAGGTGGGAGGATCACCTGAGCCCAGAGATCAAGGCTGTGAGTAGAGACTGCACCACCACACTCCAGCCTGGGCAACAGAGAGAGACCCTATCTCAAAAACATCAACAATTGGGCTGGGCACAGTGGCTCACGCCTGTAATCCCAGCACTCTGGGAGGCTGAGGTGGGCGGATCACCTGAAGTCAGGAGTTTGAGACCAGCCTGGCCAACATAGCGAAACCTCATCTCTACTAAAAATACAAAAATTATCCAGGTGTGGTGAGGTGTGCCCATAATCACACCTACTTGGGAGGCTTAGGCATAAGAATTGCTTGAACCTGGGAGGCAGAGGTTGTAGTGAGCCAAGATTGCACCACTGCACTCCAGCCTGGGCGACAGAGCAGGACTCCATCTCGTAACAAAACAAAACAAAAAAGAACTATGGTGACCCAGGTAAGTGTGAGCTCACTTAGAGTAGAGTGAGAGCAACACAGGAAAGCTGCTCAGGGAAAACCAGGTTCCTGTTTGGTGCTGGAAATTGTCGATGAAGAGAGTCAAATTCTGATATTTGGAGATTTACCCTTAGCCAAATGTGAGGACCATGACCCGTGACACAGCCCCAGGAAGTCCTGAGAACCTGTGCCCAAAGTGTTCAGGCTACAGTTTGGTTTTACACATTTTAGGGAGACATGAGACATCAATCAATATATGTAAAATGTACATTGGTTCAGTCCGGAAAGGTGGGACATCTCAAAGCGGGTTGTTGGGGGGTTTCCGGGTCATAGATGAATTCAAAGATTTCCCGATCGGCAGTTGGTTGAAAGAGTTAAATCATTATCTAAAGACCTGAAATCAACAGAACAGAGGGTCTGGGTTCAGGGGTTGTGGAGACCAAGGTTTTTATTACGCAGGTGAAGCCTCCAGGTAGTAGGCTTCGGAGAAAATAGATTGTAAATGTTTCTTATCAGACTTAAAAAGAATCCAGACCCACTGGGCGCCATGGCTCACGCCTGTAATCCCAGCACAGTGGGAGGCTGAGCTGGGTGGATCACCTGAGGTCAGGAGTTCAAAACCAGCCTGGACAACATGGTGAAACCCTGTCTCTGAGAACTGCTTGAACCTCAGAGGCGGAGGTTGCAGTGAGACAAGATCGTACCACTGCCCTCCAACCTGGGCGACTCTGTCTCAAAAAAAAATAAAATAGATAAAATTGAAAAAGAGGATGCTGAAGCTTAGAATGGGGACATCTGGTGGGACTCAGATGAAACTGAGAATCTTGAATCCACAAGTCACTCTGAGCCTCTTTTGCCAAACGAAGGAGCTTGCTCTGTTGTGTCTAAGGAGACTAGCTGCCCTTTTCTTGAAAACTGTATGACAATCTCACATGAGGAGATGCCTATTCTCCTTCAGACCCACCACAACTACCACCAGTTGGCACCAGACTCACAACTAGGATCTTAGATTTTTAGTACCCACTATGGCCTAGAATGAGATTGCTTTTACACCAAGAGAACTGCAAGATGTTGCCAATCTATGTTGGCAGAAACCTAGGGAGTGTGTGAGCGTGTCAGACCAAGGCAGGCAGAAGAACATGACCTACAGTAGACTGAACTCCCTGACCTAGGTACACTAAGATTTTGGATATCACGTGTTAGTTTGCTTAACTGGAGGTGGCTCTCAAAGCTTATTTGGTTGGTGGCTGGAACTAGGACTCCATGGTGGCCTAAGATGAGTGGGCAGAGATGCCAGAGCTGCCCTGGCATGGTTGGAGGAGGGAATCTGAAGGCCTAGGGAGACGAAATGTTGAAAGGATTTTTACCACGGCAACCTGCACGCCTACCCACCAACTACATCCCCCAGGAGACCCCAGAAAATGCCTTCTTTACTAAGGTGTTGAGAAATACATTCATGGGGGGAACACCTGCATCCTTAGAAGGTCTGTGGCTTTCTCCTTTGTAGGCCAGGTATGATGGATCGGGGGTGTGGCCACCATTGATGTGAGCTCCCAACAGCAGAAGCCAAGAGGCAGTGCCCAACCTCCAGACGCAGTGCGAGCATGCCCGCCATCACGGACCGCAGCACGTGCCTGTGGTCAGCAAGCCCTGGCCTGTAGGAGGTTTGGCAGAGACTAACTGTCCCAAGGTCTCTGCGACTGAAACAGATGAGAAGCCTGCTAGAACACTGCCTGGGAACTCACCTCACAACAAAGGGAGTGGAGCACTGGGTTCAGGCCCATAGAATTCACTTCAAGGAGAAGGAAAAAAAGCAGAGACACAGACGGCAGCAAAGGCAAGAAACCAGCAGCCCCAGGGAAAGCAGCAAGGCCAGCTTTGTGCTCCATTTGGCAAATTGCTAAGGTAACTGAACAAAATATAACTAATGAACAATTACAGTGAAGTTCATAATTAGCTCCTTGAAACACCTGATAAAAAATATTTCAGATTCTTTTTTAAAACAACCATACTCAAGTGAGGTGAGGAGAGGCCGACCCAGGAATTGGAGAAAGCTATGAATGGTTCCTCTGGTTTGAAAGGAACAAAGCCCCCTAAATCATTATCCAGGTAACAGCACTGGCCTCCCAGAGCTGATATGCTAATTTGAAGGAGAGAGTGAATGTGAGTGGCTAACTCGAGGCTTGACATGTAGTACATGAACAAGAAATACTTGTTCCTTCCCTCCTGTTGGGCAAGAAGTTCACTGAGGGTAGACAATGCCATCCATTACTGTCTATATTCTGTGGGGTTCTCTGGGAGCCTGACACCAAGAGATTCTTAGAAAGTATAGCTAAAAAAGAATTTTTTTTTTTTTTTTGAGACGAAGTCTTGCTGCTCTGCCGCCCAGGCTGGAGTGCAGTGGCGCGATCTCAGCTAACTGCTACCTCTGCCTCCCGGGTTCAAGCAATTCTCCTGTCTCAGCCTCCTGAGAAGCTGGGATTACAGGCATGTGCCACCATGCCCGGCTAATTTTGTATTTTTAGTGGAGACGGGGCTTCACATGTTGGTCAAGCTGGTCTCGAACTCCTGACTTCATGATCTGCCTGCCTCAGTCTCCCAAAGTGCTGGGATTACAGGCATGAGGCACTGTGCCTGGTGAGAATATCCTTGTTTTCAGGAATTCACAATAGAGTATTTAGGGACAAAGGCACATTGTGTGTGCAGTTGACTCAAACCATTTAGAAAAAAAATACACATAAGTACGTGTGTATGTGTGTGTACGTAAGGAGAGAGAAAAGGATTAAGCAAATGTCACATAATGCCAACATTTGGGCAGTTTGAGTGAAGATTATCTAGAATTGTTAGTGCTATTTTTGAAACTTTAATTTGAAATTATATCAAAACACAGAAAGTAAAGGAAAGGAATACAGATACTTGCTTCCCAGTTTCCTCTAGAGCTAGCGGTGGCCATGAGATACAGTTCTTAGCCAATGAGTCGGAGGAGAAGGCTGCTGACAATCTTTCTGGGGAGAAACTTCCCCCTGGTCAAATAAGAACGGGCTTCAAAGAGACTTCTCACTGCACTGGCTGCCTCATTGCTTTAAGTATTTGAGGATGTGGTGCCGGAGCTGCAGCAGCCATCTTGTGACCATGAGGAAAAGCCCAAGAAACTCACAAAGCTTTCCCCATGTATGAGTTTCCGTGACACTGTTGCCCCACTTATGTTACATAGGATCATTCAATTCCTATACTCCTTCAATCCCACTCATCATTCCAGGCCCAGTGTCAGAACCTGTATCACTCAGGACCAGGGGGACAGAGCAGCCCCCATGTCAAACATGACCAAAGGGAAAAGAGAGCTTTGGAGACTCTTACATCAGCAATTAAGACCTGTGACGTAAAAATGATACGTCCCTTCCACTCACAACTCATTGGCCTTCATACAGCACATGGCCCAGCCTTGATTCCACAATTCTTATTCTTGAGGGGTTTTCATGCCTAAGTTTTGCCTCTTTTCCTCAACTATAAATTCCTCATGGTAAGTTTTTAAAGTTTTTAAAGATAATGATGCCCAGAGTTTTCTCCCAACTATTAAAATCATCACCTGAAGTCAGGAGTTCGAGACAAGCCTGGGCAACACGGTGAAACCCCATCTCTACTAAAAATACAAAAATTAGCTGGACAAGTGGTGCACACCTGCAATCCCAGCTACTCGGGAGGCTGAGGCACGAGAATCTCTTGAACCTGGGAGGCAGAGGTTGCAGTGAGCCGGTATTATGCCGCTGCACTCCAGCCTGAGTGACAGAGTCAGACTCTGTCTTAAAAAAAAAAAAAAAAAAAAAAATCAGAATCCTTAGGAGTAGGGCCTAGAAATCAGATTTTACAATTCAGGTAAAACATACATTTATAGTCCACAGCAAAAATTTTAACTGTACATCTCAAATATCTTTATTATGGTAAAATATACATAACGTAAAACTTGCCACTCCACCCATTTTTAAGTGTACAGTTCAGTGGCATTAAGTACATTCACAGTGTTATGCAAAAGTCACCACCATCCATTTCTAGAAACTTTTCATCATTCCAAACTAAAACTATGTACCCATTAAATATTCACTCCCCATTCCTTCTCTCTCCCCTTCCCTGAATAAGCTCTGGTCTACTTTCTGTCCCTGTGAATGTGACTATTCTGGGTATTTCATGTAAGTGGAATCATACAGTATTTGTCATTTTGTGACCAGTGTCTGTCACGATAATGGGTTCAAGGTTCATACACATTGCAGTGTGTGTCAGAACTTCATTCCTTTTCGTGGCTGAATAACATTCTATTGTAGGGACAGAACAGTAACCATTCATCAGCAAATGCTTGTGTTGTTTCCACCTTTTGGTGGTTGTGAATAACGCTGCTACAAACATTAGCTTACAAGCATCTGCTTCTGTCCTTGCTTTCAGTTCTTTTGGGTATATACCTAGGAGTGCAATTCCTGGCTCACAGGGTAATTACATGTTTAACTTTTTGAGGAGCCACCAGTGTGTTTCCACAGCAGCTGCCCCAATTTACATTCCCACCAGTAAGGCACCAGGGTTCAGTTTCTCCATATCCTCACCAAAGCCCAAGTTTTTGCTACACATATATGAACTCAAGTAACCACCACGTGGATAAAGACATCTAACATTTCCTGCATCCCAGAAGGTACCCTCATGGAAACCGGTATTGTTGCAAGCTCCCCAGCAGCCAGGGTCAAGAACCACGTCTTAAACTTTTAGGGGTTCTATCTCTGTCAAGGTTGGCTAACTCTCAACCTAAGAATAAGCCTCAAGTCTGAAGATGGAACATTAAAAATGACATTGTCACCTTGACAGAGTGGTTAATAACACCCCAGCGGGCCGGAGCCCATCAATCATGGGCTGCTGCCTTCTGTTTCGAGAGCTGAGGAAGACACCAAGATGGAAAGGAGGGAGGCAGCACAGGACAAGCTGGAGTGGCTGCCTAGGCACAGAAATCCCATACCACGCCTCCCCAGGCCTCTCCCCAGACTGGGAACAATAAATCTAGCAGCCAGATAGAAGCACTGCCCTCCCTGAATTCAATTTGCAAGGTCAACCAGGCCTAACAGAATTGTGACATCGGCGTCGCAGTCATTTACAACCCACTCTTGCCGTGTCTGAACATGAAAGCAATTATGTGATACATACTTTGGCAAGAACCTGAAGCTCCCATCAAGGGCGAGAGAAACACTGTCGAGTCAGGATATGTAAAGAAAGAACAAAGGAAAAGAAGGAAAGCCATAAAGACACATTCATAATGAAAATTTGAAAATTTCCACTTCCTTAGAAATCACATAAGAAGACTTAAGAGTCAGAAACCTTTTGAAAGCTCCATTGTCTTAAAAGTATAAATAGTATCTTTTTAGAAACCCACAATTTCAATCAAGCTGGAATAATGGGAAGTACCATTCATTGAACGTTGTCTTTTGAAATTTCATGACACATGAAATGATTCTCACTCAAAATCGAATTAGAGGCTCAAGCATGTGAGTTTGTGACAATGTCAAAGTGACTTGGAAAATGTACACGTAATTGATCTTCTTCACTGGGGTATGATTTTTTTGATCAATCTAGATATTCAGGAAGTACCCACGATATCAAAAGAGGGAGTCTCACTATCCTTCTTGGGAACTCTTTCCAAAAGGGCTGGCCCTAGCCCATGTGACCTTGGGCAAGCTCCCTGAACTTGGGCCTTATTCCCCATCTTCCAAATAGGGATAATGATGACACCTACCTTCTAGGGTTATACTCAGGATCGTGGCCCTGGAACAGCACCCAGCATATGGTATGTACTACAGCAGTGTTAGCTATTATTGGCAGGAAATGGCTAGGCCCCAAGGGCTCAGCAGAACCCAGCCCAAAGCCCACACAACTGTGACTCCAGCCCCTGAAGTCAGTGGTCTCAGGCCCTGTTGCAAAAGGACAGCTCGGCAGACCACACAGTAGAAGCCATATCCTTTAGCCACCAGACAGCCCAGCGGACAAAAGCCTTAGCAACAGGCACAGAGAGGACCCAGGAGTCGTTACCAAAACTGCAGTTCCCTCCACCCCAGCCTGGGTGAGGCAGGAGCACCCACCACCTCCCTCTTCAAATGCCTTCTTTCAGGTGCCAGTTCCCACCGGCAGCCCTTAAGCACAGCTTGCCTGCAAGCCAGGGACTCCTGCGCCAGGCCATTCAAGGTTTCCATCCTCCCTGTGCCAGCCAGTCCGACTCAGAAGCCATTCAGCTCAGGGATGTCCCAGTACAGATGCAGGGCCTCGGGGTTCGAGAAAGCACCTCGTTGCTCCATGGCTTTTCGAGCGATGATCTGTTTGACGGCAACTTCCACTTTATTGCCACTGAGCGTGTACTGCGAGGGAAGGGTAGAAAAAAACAAGAAACTGCACTTAAACCTGAAGCGGGGAAAACGCACGGCCCTGGGTATATCCAGGCCCAAAAGGCCCAGCCTCCACCCGGAGAGCCAAGAGTGAATGAGTCTCAGCTCCAAGACGCCCCTCTCCCTGCTAGGTCTGCAAAACCTATTTCTGAAAGGCAATTTCAAGACCTGGTGCTGAAACCCAAGTCTAACACTCCCTGAAACCCTCCCACACTGCCCCTGGCACAGTTATTGAGAAAGTGAGGCTATTTCAGAGATGCCCAGAGGTCACCATGAGCACCTTCATTTTTCTAACGCTGCACACCTCAATGGGCCCCACTGGGACCCGCTGCATGTGTCACATCCAAGCTGACCTCCAGAGGGCCCTCAAGACACCCCACTGACCCCGGCAGTGCATATTCCAGATGGGAACATAAAAAAAGTGTCTCTCAGGGTCCAGGCTCTGCCTGACCAGGATGAAAATGCAGACATAAGATCATTCCTAAATCTGAGCAGGCACCCTGAGCAAGAAAGTTTTCAGGGAAGATGTGGCTTCTGCCACCACCACATCTGGGGGATGCTGGGTGAATTCCTGAACCTGGTTCATTTCCTTGAATGAAAGTGGGGGTGCCAGCACCTAGGCTGTAGGGCTGTGAGTCAGGGGGTAAACAGGTCAGTGCACGCACAGCTTCAGAAGCGCCTAGCTACTATGTTTTATGATGATTTTACTTTTATTTATACTTTTACTTCTCTATACATTTTATTACATTATTCTATGATAAAGACTAGCTGCTGCCATTACTTCAGAAGTGGCCCAGCTTCCTAGAGCTACGGGCAAGAGCATCCCCAAGTTCCCATGAACTCCTCCTCGGAGCCAGCCATCTGCAGCAGACGGTGCGTTACTTTTTCTCGTAGTTGCACCCTTTCCAAACATTCAGAGCTCCTCTAAGATTCGTGGCACATGTGTTTCACCTTGAATCCAAACGAGCCTTTGGTGGCGTGGGTGTGTTGTGGGCTAGAAAACCTCAAGAGCAAGAGAGCCCAGTAGGGCTCCTCTGCCTGAGCTCTGGATCACTGGTGCCTTTTTTTTTTTTTTTTTAACCTGAGCTGTAATTAAAATTCATTCACCTGAAAAATTCAGTCGACGTGTGAACTAATTAGGGATCTAAGCGCCGGCTTCCGAGGAGGGCCTGCATGTCACTTCGTGTGGTGTCGCCGGCCCTCCCGCTGTGAGATGGAAATGGCTCGCCTGCTCTGTGCCCCACTACGCTTCATGCAGGGGTCCATGTGCAGCTCGTGGGCACGAATAACGCCACCTTCCACCTGCTGGTAAAATATAGCGGCCTCCCCTTAAAAGAAATCCTGCTACCGTTTCCTCCAGGGAGAGGGGAAAGGCAGAGGAAAGGGAAAGAGAAAAGAAGCCTCCACCCCCTACCCCTGCACGGGGCCTCCCCAGATAGACAGGAGCCCAGCAGCCTCCTGGCAGGAAGGGCCAGATATCCCAGCCACGTCCTGAGCAAAGGCCCGCTGGACTTGGACAGCCATGGCTGCCTGGGGGCTGCAGGCAGGAAGCCCTCAAATGTCAGGAGTCCATTCCACTTGGCCATGACCCGCCCGGGGTCCCCAGGTCTTTATTCCAGGTGAGCAGAAGGTGGGGCTGGCTACGGACACCACTTCCTTCAGCAGGACCCCTCATCTCTCTGTGTTTCCTCATCTGTAAGATGGGCTTGAGGAACACAAGCTTGTCCCACCTCATAAGGGTCAGAGGACCAGCTCCCGACCCACCACTCACTCACCAGACACCACAAGCACCTGCTGTTTTCCAAGCAGTCAGCTGAGCTCTGAGGAGGTGGTGAACCCACGAGGTTCCTGTCCTCAAGGAGCCCCCACTCCAGATAGAAAGACATGAACATACACAAGAGCTCACCCTCAGTCCATGGCAAACACTGTCAAAGCTAAAGATGGAGGCCAGGACACTGTTCAAACAGGAAATGCAGGGAAAGCCTCTCTGACATTTGAGCAGAGAGCAACTGAGATCAGGTGTGTGGAAGGGCACTGCACGGCGTGCACACCTACTCTGAATGAAGGTGATGGTGAGCGGAGGCAGCACAGAAACAGAGGCAGGAGGGCTGCGTTCGGGCACCCCGTGGCCCACGGCACCACCAGAGAGTCTCTGTTGTCAACCCATCTTAGAGATGAGGAAACTGAGGCTTGAACGCTAAGTGAGTTGCCCAAAGTCATGCCTCGGGGACAGAGTGGGAGCCAGGGCTGTGACAGAGCCCCTGTGCACGAAGACCCTCAGAGGAGCCGCTGTGAAGGCTGGCGGCAACGACCACGCCGGCAAGAGCCTCCCTAGTCCCCGCCACATCATCATCATCAGGGTGCCGCATCATCACCCTGAGCTGTGGCGGGCGGGTGAGGGGCTCCTCTCCTCAAGTCACAGGCCAGAGATGGATCAGTATTACTCAACACGAGGAGTGGGGCTGGCTCTGGGCCCAAATATCTCCTGAGCACTCGCCAAGGCCTCCCACAAATACTGAAAATGGTGCTGGCTTCCCAGGGAACAGAAGTGGCAGTGTCTCTCCACGCAGAGACAGAGACAGGCCACCTCCCATTCCCACCGCTGGGAAGGCCCTGGTCTCAGGCTATTCTTGGGGTGGTGGGAGGAGGGTAGCCCACTCTCCGCAAGCACCATGTGAAAGGTCAGACCTGCAACAAGCTCTCCTGCCTCAGCAAGGCCCCAAGACTTTGCAGATGGGACCTCAATTGTCCTCTTCTGACCCTGAAGTGGGTCCAGTTCCCGAATGGGCAGGCTGGGGCCATGCCGTGTCACCTCCCTGTGGAGGCTGGGCCCCTCCTTAGCTCAGCAACGAAAGAGGTAAATTCTCTCCTAAGC